>NC_000005.10:177867563-178018008 GCF_000001405.40 Homo sapiens
CTAGGATTTTATTCATTTCATCTAGTTATCTAATTTTTCATCATATAGGTATTCACATTACTAGCTTATGATCCTTTTTATTTCTGTAAAAGCAGCAGCAATATCTCCTTTCATTTCTGATTTTAGTTATTTGAGACTTCTCTCTTATTTTCTTAGTCAGTTGGCAGTTTTGCTGATCTTATGGAAGAACCAACTCTTGTTTTTTAATTTTAAAAGTTGTTTTCTATTCTCTATTTTGTTGATCTTTGCTCAAATCTTCATTATTTCTTTTCCTCTGCGAGGTTTCAGTTTCATTTTTTATTTTTCTAGTTCCTTAAGGTGTAAAGTTACATTGTTGATTTGGGTTCTTATTTGGTATGCAAGCAATTACAGCTGTAAATTTCCTTTTTAGTACTATGTTTGCTGCATCCCACACATTTTGGTACATTTGTTTTTATTTTCATTTGTCTGAAGATATTTTCTAATTTCCCTTGTGATTTTTTTCTTTTGACCCATTGTTATTTGAGAGTGTATTGTTTTGTTCTCTCTTTTGTTTTCTTTAGAGATGAGCTCTTGCTCCATCATCCAAGTTGGAGTGCAGTGGCATGATCAAAGCTCACTGCAGCCTCAAATGCCTGGGCTCAAGTGATCCTTCCACTTCAGCCTCCTGAGTATCTGGGATTAAGGAATGTGTTGTTTAATTTTCATGTATTTGTGGATTTTTCAGCACAACTTTTGCTATTGGTTTCTTTCCATTGTGATTGGAAACAATATTTTGTATGATTTTAATCTTTTAAAATTCATTAAGACTTGTTTTGTGGCCTAACACATCCTCTATCCTGGAGAATGTTTCATAATGCACTTTAAAAAAAGTATATTCTATTGTTAGGTGGATTGTGTTGTTTATGTCTGTTAGGGCCATTTCGTCTATAGTGTTGTTCAAGTTCTTGTATTTCCTTATTGATCTTCTGTCTAGTTGTTCTATCCGTTATTGAAAGGGTAGTACTGAAGTCTCCTACTATTTTTTCAAGTTGTCTATTTCTGTCTTCAATTCTGTCAATGTTTGCTATGTATATTTAGGCTCTAATATTTATTGCATAAATGTTTTTAATTGTTATATCTTCTTGGTGAATTGACCCTTTCACCATTATATAATATTCTCCTGTTTCTTGTAACAGTTTTATTTTTACTTAGTGTCTATTTTTAGGCTGGGAGTGGTGGCTCACGCCTGTAATCCCACACTTTGGGAGGCCAAGGCAGGTGGATCACCTGAGGTCAAGAGTTCGAGACCAACCTGGCCAACATGGCAAAACCCCTTCTCTACTAAAAAATACAAAAAAAAACTTAGCTGGGTGTGGTGGCACGCACCCATAGTCCCAGCTGCTTGGGAGGCTGAGACACGAGAATTGCTTGAACCTGGGAGGTGGAAGTTGCAGTGAGCCGAGATCACGCCACTGCACTCCAGTCTGGATGACAGAGTGAGACTCCATCTTAATTTAAAAAAGAAAAAAAAGTCTATTTTTTTCCCTCTGTGTTTCTCTCTGTCTCTCTCTTTTCTTTCTGGAATTCCAATAGCTTATAACTTGGTCCACTTGATGTTGTTCCATATGCTCCCTAGGCTCTGTTCACTTTTCTTCATTGTTTTTTTCTTTTTGCTTCTCAGACTTGATAATTTCAAATGATGTTTCTTCAAGTTCACTGATTCTTCTGCCCATTCAATTCTGATTTTGAACCCCTCTAGTTAATTTTCCAATTCAGTTAGCTTATTTTTCAACTCTAGGATGTCTGTATGGTTCTTTTTAAAAATAATTTGTCTCTTTGCTGATATCCTATTTTGTTCATGTATTGTTTTCCTGCTTCCTTTAATTCAGTGTCTCATTGAGTATATTTAATAAAGACCATTGTTTTAAAGTCTTTGTTTAGTAAGCCTGAAACCTGTGTTTCTTTAGAGTTGGTTTTTGGAGATTTATTTTGTTGACTTTGATCAGGCCGTATTTTCCTGTTTCTTTGTGTGCCTTGTGATTTTAAGAAGGCGTTTGAAAAAACAGCCACCTGTCCTAAGGGACCTAAAATCTCCCCTTTCTACCTATGCAGTGCTCCACTCTGCTGGTTTGTGCTGCTCTGTCTTGGTATTCCCCCAAATATTTTAAATTATTTTTTTCATTTTCATGTAATTTTTTATTTTTTGAAATGGAGTCTCACTCTGTCACCCAGGCTGGAGTGCAGTGGCACGATCTCGGCTTACTGCAACCTCCGCCTTTTGGGTTCAAGCAATTCTCCTGCCTCAGCCTCCTAGTAGCTGGAACTATATGCATGTACCACCACGCCTGGCTAATTTTTGTATTTTTAGTAGAGATGGGGTTTCACTATATTGGCCAGGCTGGTCTCGAACTCCTGATCTCAGGTGATCTGCCTGCCTCAGCCTCCCAAAATGCTGGGATTACAGGCATGAACCACCATACCCGGCCTATTCTTTTCATTTTCATACAGAGCAACTCAACTCTCCCATGACCATACCCAATCTAAACACTTAAACCCATCTTTATATGGAGAATCGGTGAGGCCTCTGTTTTGCATATCCAAACACTTAAGGGAGCAGTAGGAATTCTGTAGAGCAATATTTTTTGTTTGTTTTGAATTACATCTATGGATATTTCCTCTATAAATGGTTTCCTAATTTTTCCCTTTTTAGTTTTTTCACCAAAATTCTTATTGGCCTCTCAATAACTCTTATTGTTGTTGTTGTCAAGACAGAGTCTTGTTCTGTCCTCCAACCTGGAGTGCAGTGGCATGATCTCGACTCACTGCAACCTCCATCTCCTGGATTCATTCGATTCTCTTGCCTCAGCCTCCTGAGTAGCTGGGACTACAGTTGTGCATCACCATGCCCAGCTAATTTTTGTATTTTTAGTAGAGACAGGGTTTCACCATGTTGGCCAGGGTGGTCTCAAAATCCTTACATCAGGTGGTCTACCCGCCTCAGCCTCCAAGGTGCTGGGATTACAGGTGTGAGCCACCACACCAGCTTAAATAATTCTTAAAATTAGTAATTTTTGGTAAAATTTTTAAATATATTTTGTATAAGTTTATATCTAGGTATTTTATCATATAAACATTTAAATATATGAATATATATTTATATTTTAAAATCACATATATATGACTAAAGCAGAACATATATATATCTGCTTTAGTTCTGAATATTAGTCTGGTATATAATTAAGTTGTAACATTATCAGCTTTGTGATATAAAATTTTAAGCTGCTGAAATGAAACTCTATCCTTTCTTTAGTTTGATTTCTTCACTTACCTGATAATTCTAATTATCTTCCAGTTGTTCTGCTTCTCTGGCTGAACCCTGACGGATACATACCCATATGTTGAGGCTTTGCCAGAGGTGACAAGTCTGTTTTCTTTTACAACATCAGCTTCTCTAAAGTCCTCTGACCCCCAAAGGACTTATACTTCAAGACTCCCCTACTCTTCTTTCACTGTAAGATTTTTCCCCTGTCCCTCTACACATCCTGTCATCTCTGGCATTACTATTTATGGCCTGATTCTGCCTTGAATGACCCTGAAGTCCCCAAGACTCACATGTGTAAAAAATTTCTTAGTTTGATTTTGATCAGCTCCTAAGAGAGAATTTCTAGGTGAGAGAAGGAACTGTAAAAACGGTCCATCAACTGCATTCTTCAAAAATGTTGATGTCATAATAGGCACAGAAATGCTGGGGAACCTTTATAGATTCAAGGAGACTAAGGACATATAATAACTAAATATAGTATGAGGTTCTAGACTGGAACATGTACTGAAAGAAAAGAATGCTATAAAGAACATTTCTGGCTAAATTGACACAAATGAAATACAGACAGTAGATTAAATAAAATTCCATGTTTCTGTTCAATTTACCAACATCGATAACTATACTGGGGGTAGGAAACAGAACATCCTATTTCTTAGGAAATACTGAAATATTTAGGGGTAAAGGGTAAGATGTATGCAACTTACAATGTGATAGGTCTTGGATTTGTGTCCCTGAGAAAATTTCCAATTGTAAACCCCAGTGTTGGAGGAGGGGCCTGGTGAGAGGTGACTGGATCATCGGAGCGAATTTCCCCCTTGCTGTTCTCGTTACAGTGACTGAGTTCTTATGACATCTGGCTGTTTAAAAGTATGTGGCACCTCCCTGTCTCTCTGTTTCCTGAGACCTGCCCAGCCATGCTTCCTGTACAGCCTATGGAACCACGAGCCAATTAAACCTCTTTTTTTTTTTTTTTTTTTTTTTTTTTTTGAGACAGCTTTTTGCTCTGTAGCCCAGGCTGGAGTGCAGTGGTGCAATCTAGGCTCACTGCAAGCTCCGCCTCCCGGGTTCACACCATTCTCCTGCCTCAGCCTTCCAAGTAGCTGGGACTACAGGCGCCCGCCACCACGCCCGGCTAATTTGATTATATTTTAAGTAGAGACGAGGTTTCACCATCTTGGCCAGGCTGGTCTTGAACTCCTGACCTCGTGATCCACCCGCCTTGACCTCCCAAAGTGCTGGAATTACAGGTGTGAGCCACCGTGCCTGGCCCAATTAAACCTCTTTTCTTTATAAATTACCCAGTCTCAGGTAGTTCCCTATAGCAATGTGAGAACGGACTAATGCACAATTGCCAAATGTTTAGACAAAAGAGTAGTAACGTAGATATATGTAGAGAAAGCAAATGGAGGCTGGGCACAGTGACTCAGGCCTGTAATCTCAGCACTTTGGGAGGCCAAGGCGGGTGAGGCCAGGAGTTTGAGACCAGCCTGGCCAACATGGAGAAACTCCATCTCTACAAAACATACAAAAAATTAGCGGGTGTGGGGGTGCACGCCTGTAATCCCAGCTACTCAGGTGGCTGAGACATGAGAATCGCTTGAACCTGGGAAGCGGAGGTTGCAGTAAGCCAAGATCGCGCCACTGCACTCCAGCCTGGGTGACAGAGTAAGACTGTGTCTCAAAAAAATAAATAAATAAAAATAAAACTAAAAAAAGAAAAAAAGTGGAACAAAATGCTACAATTCGGTGAATCTGTGTCACAGGAATAGCAGTGCTTTTTACTATTCTTGCAACTTTTCTGTAAATTTGAATTTTTCCAAATAAAAAGTTTTAAAAAATGGCCCATGACTCTGTTCCCCTCAATTTTATCTCCCCTTTGAGAGACTCTGACTTTAGTCTCAACATTGCCCCCAGATGTGTGCTAGTCCAACTTGAAATGTTATACCAGTTTCTGTCTCAGGCAAGAGCAGTCGGATATACTTATCACAACTGAGTTTCTAACATCCATGTATACAGAATATAGAAAAGGAACACAAGGGGAAATTAAGTAAAAAACATACATTACAGGCCGGGCGCGGTGGCTCATGCCTGTAATCCCAGCACTTTGGGAGGCAGAGACGGGTGGATCACCTGACATCAGGAGTTCGAGACCAGCCTGGCCAGCATAGCGAAACCCCATCTCAACCAAAAATACAAAAAATTAGCCAGGCATGGTGGCGGTGCTTGTAATCCCAGCTACTCGGGAGACTGAGGCAGAAGACTTGGTTGAACCTGGGAGGCGGAAGTTGCAGTGAGCCAAGATCGCACTGCACTCCAGCCTGGGCAATAGGAGCAAAACTTCATCTCAAAAAAAAATTAAAAAATAAAAAATATACATTACATACAAAAATACAAAATGAATGCAGAAATACAAAGAATCACATTTACGTGATTTCAGATACTGAGAATCAGAGTGTAGATTTTAGAGTCAGTAACATCTGAGTTCTAACCTTTGCTCTGTCACATGATAGTCATGTGACCTGGACCAGGACATTTTACCTCTTTCTACTTCAGTTTTTGTATCTTGGTAGGGACTTGTAAATCCTCAGTGTATGCAGCAAAAAAAAAAAAAAAAAAAAAAATACAAAATACAGGGAAAATGTAGGAAAAATATCTAAATATATATATATATGAAGATTCCTGAAAAAGAGGGGTAAGGAAGAAAACTAGACACCAAATAGTTTCCTACTCCAAGATTTTAGAGACTTCAGTGGTATTCTTGGAGTCTGAAAAGCTTTGTAGTTTCCAAGAATTTCTGGTTGCAATGGGGTAGGGAAAAGATTGGGGAAAGAGAGGGACCTTATTTCCTACGGTCCTTCTGAGAGCCATATGCTTTATATGTGTACTCATTTAGTACCTAGGACCTTCTGACACTTTCTTATGTTGCTGGTGGAAGTATAAATTATTAAACCTCTTCATAGGTGTTTTGGCAATATATATCCAAATAAAAAAGTGCAGATGTGTACAATGAAGGTTGTATAGGGATATTCACTGCAATATTGTTCTAATATTGTTCTAAAAGCAAATTCATGAAGGGATCAGTTGAATATTATATATTCATATAAAGACTGCCACCATTGAGAAGAATGAGACGTCTGCATTTTCTGACAAGAAATGATTTCCTATACATATTTACCATAGGAAGCAAGTTGTGTAAGGAATGCTACCTTTTTGGCAGTGTGTTGGGAGAGGTTATGCACACACCTATCTACCTTGCCCAGGTGCTTACTTACACTGTCTCTGGAAGGCCACACAAGAAATTTAACTTTTTCAGAAGAGAAGTTTGGGGACACAGGATGGAGGGAAGCTTTTCAATCTATTCCCTTTTATACATTTTACATTTGTTACCAAGTGCACGTGTTGCCTTTTAAAAATTGGGTTTTTAAACACATTTACCACTACTACTCACCACCAAAACCTTCCCCCCTCAGCTCTTCTCCAGGGCCTTGACTGGCGCTGGCAGCTCACCACCCCTTTTTTCTCCAGCAAGAAGCCACTGGTTTAAGGGAGATATGAGAGGTGGGGTGGATACGCAGGTGGACATTTACTTTTCACTCTATATCTTTTATTTTTATATTTACAATCATGTGCATGTAATACTGTTACAGGAAAAGGGTCCCAATCCAGACCCCAGGAGTGGGTTCTTGGATCTCACTCAGGAAAGAATTCAGGGCAAGTCCGCAGTGCAAAGTGAAAGCAAGTTTATTAAGAAAGTAAAGGGAATAAAAGAATGGCCACTCCATAGACAGAGCAGCCCCGAGGGCCGCTGGTTGCGCATTTTTATGGTTTTTCCTGATGATATGCTAAACAAGTGGTGGATTATTCATGCCTCCCTTTTTTAGACCGTATAGGGTAACTTCCTGACGTTGCCATGGCATTTACAAACTGTCCTGGCACTGGTGGGAGTGTAGAGGTGAGGATGACCAGAGGTCACTCTCATCGCCATTTTGGTTTTGGTGGGTTTTGGCCGGTTCCTTTACTGCAACCTGTTTTATCATCAAGGTCTTTATGACCTGTATTTTGTGCTGACCTCCTATTTCATCCTGTGATTAGAATGCCTTAACAGTCTGGGAATGCAGCCCAGTAGGTTTAAGCCTCATTTCACCCAGTTCCTATTTAAGATAGAGTTGCTCTGGTTCACACGCCTCTGCCATTACCTTTTAAAAACAAAAAATCCATTTTTATTTAAAAAAAAAAACAAAACCTCCAGACCCCTTCTTAACACCTCTTCCCTCACTCCACACCCGCTAGCCCTTTTCATGGGACAAGCTCACCAGCTGGTCCTTCTCCAGCAAAAAGACCAGAGCTTTCTGCTCTTAAGGGAGGGGACTAGGGATTAGGGAACAACCCCAGAAGAAAGGTGATGAGTTAACTGTTTAGAAGGTTAGTGTTGGTTCTTTTATTCGATTAAACAGGAATACACATATATCTACCAAAGAATAGGTAAGGGAGAAATAAGAACACTAAAAAAACTCGGAATCGTTAAGTGTGAAGCATATTTGGAGTTAAAAGAACCAAATATTACTAAGTAAGCAGACGCGGGCACGCGCTGCATACCGGGATTTGTAGTCCCTTCCGGGGCGGGGTACAGCGCGCCTGCGCAGAGGGGCCGTCCCTCTTCCGGGCGCATGCGTGCGGCAGCGGCGCCAGGACTGACTGCGCCGTGGAGGCTGCTGCAGTGTTGTGAGTTGGAAGCTGGGGAGCTCGGCATGGCGGTCCCCGCTGCAGCCATGGGGCCCTCGGCGTTGGGCCAGAGCGGTCCCGGCTCGATGGCCCCGTGGTGCTCAGTGAGCAGCGGCCCGTCGCGCTACGTGCTTGGGATGCAGGAGCTGTTCCGGGGCCACAGCAAGACGCGCGAGTTCTGGCGCACAGCGCCAAGGTGCACTCGGTGGCCTGGAGTTGCGACGGGCGTCGCCTAGCCTCGGGGTCCTTCGACAAGACGGCCAGCGTCTTCTTGCTGGAGAAGGACCGGTTGGTGAGCTGCCGGGGCTCGGCTCAGGCTAGGGAGAGGGGCCGTGGTGAAGTGAGGTGCGGTAGTGGGAGAGCGAATGGGGGCGAACGGAGCCGCGGGGGTGAAAGGAGAGTGGGTTTGAGGGAAGGGGAAAGGGGGAGTGTGGAGATGAGGAGGGAGTAGGGAGAAGGTGGAGTGTGGGGGTGACGGGGTCGTGAGGGGTGAGGAGAGGAAGACTGGGGGCGTGTGAAGAGTGTGGAAGTAAGGAGGTTGGCGATGGCGGGTGAAGGTGAGGAGAGGGTGGATGGGACAGGGCTGCGATGGGAGCCTTACTCGTTTGGAGTCGAATCCTGTGCTGATAAGAAGTGGCTAGGGGCTGTGGTGGTGGTGGTGGTGGTGGTGGTGGTACGTTGGTGGTACGTTGGTGGTACGTTGGTGGTAGAGTAAGGGTGGAAAACCAGGAAGGAGGAGAAGGCCAGGGAGGGCACAAAAGTAAGGGCATAGGTGTGGAAGCTGAGAAAAACAGTTCAGAAGGCCTGCGGAGAAGAGAAGGGAGAAAGGGCTTGGAGGAACTGGATTCTGAATTACCCAGATCTTTACTGGTCCCAGCATACTTTGGTTTGAATAAGCTTATAAAGTTACATGCGGAGGCAGTTACATCTATGTGAAGTCACATCTGGATTCTGTTCTTTCAGGTCAAAGAAAACAATTATCGGGGACATGGGGATAGTGTGGACCAGCTTTGTTGGCATCCAAGTAATCCTGACCTATTTGTTACGGCGTCCGGAGATAAAACCATTCGCATCTGGGATGTGAGGACTACAAAATGCATTGCCACTGTGAACACTAAAGGTGACTATTCAGAGAGAGGGCAATAGGAAGATAAGCTGTTTGGATTCATTCAACAACCATTTTCCGAATATCTTTTCTGTGCCTGGCACTCAGCTGTGTATGAGACATCCTGAGCTGAATAAGAGTTTCCAGCTCCAAGGACCTCCCCTGCGGGGAGAAGACATATATATACAAATAACATAGCAAGATATGGTTCATTTTATAATGGAGAGGTCTGCAAGGTGGATACCCAGAATAGAAATGAAAACAAAAGTCTGCCTAGGGGAGCCAGGGAAGGCCTCACCAAATTTGAGCAAACTTTTAGGGTAGCCATAGGAGTTGAGTGGTCAGGGTGCTGTGGGTGGGGAATGGGACATTTCCAGGAGGGAACAGCATGTGCAAAGGCATGGAGAATTTGGAAAATTCTGATGAGTTAGAATGGTTGAAACTTGGATGGTCTTGGTGATCTGGGAGAAAGTTGTGCAGTACATTTATAGGCTCTGTTGTAAGTATTGAGGCCGGTATTGTATGGGACTCTGAGTTTTCATTGATCGTAAGATGTTCCATTAGGAAAGAAAGTTGGTAAATAACTGTGATACACCCAAAATTTTGAAATGCTTTCTGATACATTTTAAGATACAGTGTAGATACTAAAATGTGAGAAAATATGCGTTTTAGAATGGAAAAAGTTGGTGAAATTTTTAATTGATGTGTTCAGTGTGGGCCACTGGACTTTGTTGACAAGACTTATCTCTGGAGGCGGAATGGTGTGGTTTTTCCCCAAGTATACAGCTGCTGATCCATGAGTGATTCAGGTGATGCGTGGGTGAACATTAAAAACCAGTTTTGCAAATATCTTAATGTCTACTAGAAGAACTAGCACATAGAATTTATTATTCAGTTGAAGCTAAATTTATTTTATTTTTATTTATTTTATTTTATTTTTATTTTTGAGACAGGGTCTTGCCCTGTTACCCAGGATGGAGTACAGTGGCATAATATTGGCTCCCTGCAGCCTCCACCTGGGCTCAAGCCATCCTCCCACCTCAACCTCCTGAGTAGCTGGGACTACAGGCACATGCCACCATGCCTGGCTAATTTTTTGTAGAGACGGGTTTTGCCATATTGCCCAGGCTGATCTTGAACTCCTGGACTCAAGTGATCTGCCTACCTTGGCCTCCCAGAGTGCTGGAATTACAGGCTTGAGCCTCCACAGCTGGCTGCTAAATTTATTTAAGTAAACTTTTTTGAATCAATTTTAAGAAAAATCTTGAATAAAGAAAAGTATAGTGTTTAATGGATAGGACAAAAATTGTGATGTTGGCATGCGAATGGCTGGAGTTGAGAAATGCTGGTGTAAGAGAAAAGGGGGCTTTGGGGTCAAATCTGGGTTTAAAATCTTGGCTCGGCCGGGCACGGTGGCTCACACCTGTAATCCCAGCACTTTGGGAGGCCAAGGCGGGCGGATCACGAGGTCAGGAGATCGAGACCATCCTGGCTAACACGGTGAAACCCCGTCTCTACTAAAAATACAAAAAAATTAGCCTGGTGTGGTGGCAGGCGCCTGTAGTCCCAGCTGCTCGGGAGGCTGAGGCGAGAGAATGGCGTGAACCCAGGAGGTGGAGCTTGCAGTGAGCCGAGATCGCGCCACTTCATAGCTCTTTGACTTCATAGCTTTGACACTTTGGCTTGTCGTCTTATCTCCTATTTCCTTCATCTATAAAATCTTATAGATTTTATAAATGGAGATAATAAAGTGTATGTTAGAGGAGTATTGTGAAGACCAAATGGGGAAATGTGTAGATGAAAGTTCTGGACTTATTGTTGAATCGTAAGTGGTAGCTCCCTTCCATTGTCTAGGACTTTAATGAGTAAGCCCGGAAGAAAGCTCTGGTCTTCTTTCTAGGATAGTGCAATAAACTTGTAGAGGATTATGAGCAAACAGATTATCTTGCTGATTATGTCTGGGTTCCCAGGGGAGAACATTAATATCTGCTGGAGTCCTGATGGGCAGACCATTGCTGTAGGCAACAAGGATGATGTGGTGACCTTTATTGATGCCAAGACACACCGTTCCAAAGCAGAAGAGCAGTTCAAGTTCGAGGTCAACGAAATCTCCTGGAACAATGACAATAATATGTTCTTCCTGACAAATGGCAATGGTTGTATCAACATCCTCAGGTGAGGGGGTCTAGCTTAGGGGACTGTCATGTCTTTGTGCTGGGTGCTGTGTCAGATATGGAGATGAATTAGATGTGAGCCTATCCTGAAGGAGCTTAAAACACAAATAGTAAGAGAGAATCCTAACCTGTCTTAAGTACATTTGAGCTGTATATTTTATATACTTTATATTTTACTGAGTCCTTACAGAAATTCTAGGGGTTGATGATTTGCTTCTCATTTGACAGATGAGGATCTGAGGGTGAGAGGTTACATCAGTAGTCAGCTAGTGTGTGCTAGAACTGGATGCACCTTGAATTATGGCTAATTCATACTCCCTTTTTTTTTGTTTTTCGAGACAGAGTTTTGCTCTTGTTGCCCAGGCTGCAGTGCAATGGTGTGATCTTGGCTCACCGCAACCTCTGCCTCCGGGGTTAAGCGATTCTCCTGCCTCAGCCTCCCAAGTAGCTGGGATTAGAGGCATGTGCCACCACACCTGGCTAATTTTGTATTTTTTGTAGTTTAGGGTTTCTCCATGTTGGTCAGGCTGGTCTCCAACTCCCAACCTCAGGTGATTAGCCCGACCTCTGGCTAATTCGTACTCTTAAAGTTTCAACTGAAATATCACTTTGCCTTCAGGGAAGCTCCCCCGCTACCCCAAGGTTAGAGGTAGGTTAGAGGCGTATTTTATATACTTTCTGTAGGAAGCACTTTTCTTTCTATATTGTAATTGCATGTTTATTTGCCTGTGTCTCCTGTTAGACTGTGAATTCCTTGATGGTAGGGATGGTGTTTGCCTTGTTTAGTGTTGAATCCCTAATGTCTAGTCCTGTACCTGCTCCACGTAGTAGGATCTTAGTAAATATTTGTTCTGTAAATGAATGAAACTGTGGAGCTGAAATTCAGGTCTGTTCAATTCTAGCCTTCCACTATCCCAGGTGAACAATGCAAGACCAAGTGAGATAGGTTCTGTGAGTGGGAGGCCAGGAGTTTGCTGTGAAATTCCATGGAAAGAACAGACATACTATATGGGGGGTTGAAGGAGGGAGCTTGTGAGCTTGATCTTGAAAGATGAGCAGAATTTTAAGAATAAGCAAAAGGGAACCACATAACTGACAAAGCAGGTGTGAGTGAGCATGACTTACTTGGAGAGTGGTTAGGTCAGGGTTGTTGGGGGAGTGGTGGCAGATAAGGGAAATAAGAGAGGGCATGATAATGGGAAGATGAAGTCTAATTTGGGACCAGATTATAAAAGGCCTTTATTTTATGCTTAGTATCTTGGGTTTTATTTTGTAGGCAATGGGGATTCTATAACTTTTTAAGAAAAATCTTTTTATTATAAAACACAGATATTGAAAACCACATAAAATAAATGTATAGCTTAATGAACTCTTATAGGCTTAACTCTTGTGCAACCCCGCCCAAGTTGAGAAGTAGTTCTTTCCAGCCATCCCAGAAGTCCATCCAGGTGTTTTGTCCTAATTACAACTTCCTTCCACAAAAGCAAACACTATCCTGACTTTTATAGTGTTTCTTCATAGTTTATCTACCACATGTGCAGCCCCTAGATACCCTAGTTTTGCTCATTAAAAAAAAAAAAAAATTGATATGTGTTTTGTATCTCTTAAATTACTCAAAAGAAACTTCCGAAAACGTAGCTGTTGAAAAACCAGACTGTTAACCTGTGGAGATTCTCCCAGTTTGGCTTTTGCTGATTCCATATGCTGTTTATGTGTTGGACTGTTGTGTAAAGAGATGCTGCTTCTCATCTGCGATGTGGTTACCCAGTAGTGTAGTTCATGTAGGGAAGGCAGGATAAAATTTTGATTCTGTTTGTCAGATAATGATTTTGTTTCCTGCTACCTCCAAAGATGAGCAGTTAGGTGTTTTTTTTTTTAAAGAATCATTACGGGCTGATGTTTTTAAACATAGTTGGTGTGTTTCCATCTCTTGTAATTGTTATGCCTGTTGAAGCTCAAATTATCCCATCTTTGGCCAATAAGAACCTCTTCAAGTTGGTTCCTGAGACCTTTTTTGACATAATCCCATCGTCTTCTGTTTTTTTGCTCTCTGGTTTGATAAGATGTTCCAAGTTCATCTTGTGCATTTCTTGCCCCAGACCTTTAATCAGAACATTCTCCAAGAAGCCTTAACATTCTGGCTGGGTGCGGTGGCTCACGCCTGTAATCCCAGCACTTTGGCACTTTGGGAGGCCGAGGCGAGTGGATCACTTGAGACCTGGCAATCATAGAGAAACCCTGTCTCTACTCAAAATACAAAAATTATCTGGGCGTGGTGACGCACGTGTATATTCCCAGCTGCTTGGCAGACTGAGGCAGGAGAATCGCTTGAACCCGGGAGGCGGAGGTTGTAGTAAGTTTAGATTGCACCACTGCACTCCAGCATTCTGGGCGACTGAGTGAGATTCCACCTCAAAAAAAAAAAAAAAAAAAAAAGGAGCCTTACATTCTTTTACTGAGAAATGATACTGAAGTTAGGAATGTTCATTACTGCTGGGTTGGCCTAGGAATTACGTGTGTGTGTGTGTGTGTGTGTGTGTGTATATATTTAAAGATAAAATACCTTATGAATTCACATTGATAACTTGCAATCAAAATTGAGGACTCCAGGGATTTTACTAAACCTCTTCTATATTACAAATATATTTCTTTCCTCCCAAATTGAGTATTCTGGTTCTCAAGGGCACAGGGGATCATAGAATTAGAATATCCGATGGTTACTTATTACCTATCTCCCATGGTAAACATATAGATGTCTCAGAACAACAATATTACTGCTGCTACCACCAATGTGATGACTTGAAACAAAAAATGTTTTTGGTTTTTGCATATGCTCTTTCCATTCTTCCCCCATTAAAAAAATAGTACTATATGTTGTAAGCATGTGCACATGTTACATATTATACCCTCTCTTTAAACCATGTATAGTTTTTGCAAGAAACTGTATATTCAGTGTTCAGCACCAGTCCTTATAAGTCTCTAGTCATTTTTTTAATTGAAGCTCATTCTCTAGTTAAGATTCCTCGGGAAGCGTTCATGGGAACATTATTCCTGGAGTTTTTATTACAACTTATTTACGTAATTCTAAAACTTACAGATTTTATAAAACGTTATTGTGCTTATTGTTTGTATCATTATATTTGAAATTCAGTTTTGCTGGATGTAAAAATCCTTGGCTCGTTTTCTCGCTTGTGTATCTTTCTTAAATATGGTACTCCATTTTCTTTTGGCATTAAGTGTTGTTGTCAGAAAGCCCAATAATCTAATTTTCTTTTTCTTTAAAGTCCACTAATTTTGCTAGTCTCTGTCTCGATGTTGGTAACTTTGGTTCTGTAGTCTCAGGTATGTGTTGTGCTTTTTAAATAATGTAGTTCAAAATCTTTTTTTATTTCAGGAATGTTATCTTGAATGACAGTTCTTGGTGGTGGTCTATTATCTTTGCTTTTCTTCTTCATCATCTCCTATTATTGTTTTAGCACCACAGTCCTCTTCTGCAGTTTGATCGCTGTCTTTTTTCTCAGCTACCCAGAACTGAAGCCTGTGCAGTCCATCAACGCCCATCCTTCCAACTGCATCTGTATCAAGTTTGACCCCATGGGGAAGTACTTTGCCACAGGAAGTGCAGATGCTTTGGTCAGCCTCTGGGATGTGGATGAGTTAGTGTGTGTTCGGTGCTTTTCCAGGTAAGTGACTCTATCAGCACTTCCCTTGTTGGGTACATTAATTTTATTTCATCGTGAGTGACATTGTTCCCTCCTCTTACTTGGTAATTCTCTTGTCTCTTCTGTCCACTCTGTATCATAGGCTGGATTGGCCTGTAAGAACCCTCAGTTTCAGCCATGATGGGAAAATGCTGGCGTCAGCATCGGAAGATCATTTTATTGACATTGCTGAAGTGGAGACAGGTAACTTCATGAGAATCTACCGTCTTTCACCTTTGGCAGTCAGGACTTCTCTTGTGATCTCATCTCTGCATGTGACTACTTCACCAGCATGATCATGAATGAATTTGTCTCCTTTAGACAAGTATGTTTCTGTTTTGACTGTCACTGCCAGGTGGTGAGGAAGCAAAGAGTTAAGAAATAAACAGGCAGGTCTGAGGAAGGTGATTTAGAAAAATATTTTGATTTATTTAAACTTTAAACTACAGAGTAGAAGGAAGAAAAAAGCACCACTTGGGGTCCCACTCTCTAAATACCACCTGTTTTAAATGTTGTGATATATTTCTCTTTATCTTTTGCCTGTATATGAACTTGAAAAAATATTATTTAAAATTTGAGGAATTATAAAGTTTTTGCTTTAAAAACAACAGAAGCTGGAAATAGAAAAATGGGAGGAGAGTATTCATTTTGCAAAAGAATTTCCTCAGATTTGTTTTTTAATGTTGCTTTATTGTTTTTGGAAATCTGTGACACTCTTCGTAAAAAGATTAAAACTGTATAGAAAACTTCGAAGAGGAAAGTAAAGAACTTGAAATTCCACTATGTAAAGAATGCTCCTGTTAGTCACGTTGTGGTGAACATTGTCCAGCATCCAGCCATGCAGATCCTTCATGTAACTGCATGTCCCTGTGACGCGGAGACACTTTCCTGCTCAGTGACCTGCTCTTGAGTTAACCCACCTGTGCTCAGAACCGGCTCTGTCCTCCGCTGGCTTGTGGGCTCTCTGTGCCTGGGGGTTCTCTGTAAAATGAGGTAATAGTTGTATCTATCTCATGGGATTAGTAGGTGGATTAAACCAGTTAATACAGGTAAGTACTTAATGAATGTGTCCTTCGTTTTGAACGTATTGATTGGTTTCTCTCTATTGTTTTCTATAGGGGACAAACTATGGGAGGTACAGTGTGAGTCTCCGACCTTCACAGTGGCATGGCACCCCAAAAGGCCTCTGCTGGCATTTGCCTGTGATGACAAAGACGGCAAATATGACAGCAGCCGGGAAGCCGGAACTGTGAAGCTGTTTGGGCTTCCTAATGATTCTTGAGAGGAGGTTGTAGGGAGAGGAGGCCCCGGCAGAGGTCTTCCTTCATGTGGTTAGTTTGGTCTGTTCTCTCGGAGTTGGTGGGCACCCTAAATATTTGTAAGTTGGTATAAATTGTAAACGTCTCTGGTCAGGCTGCGCATTTCGTTCTTTTGCTTTGTCTGTGTATTAGCTCTTTCCATTCTTTGCCCCCAGCATGAGTTAACTCGCGTGGACTCTGCAGTGCGAGTAGTGACCCCAGCATACCTTGTCCTCTGGACCTCCTGTCTTCTCTGCTTCTGGGTGCATGGTAGACTTTGTGGCATTTGATACAACTTGGACAATACCTAGTTTGGAGGGAGGGGAATGGAAGGGCATGGAAGTTTTTTTAAATAATTAAAAAAATATATATATAATTTTGAGAATTGAGCATTTAATAAACTGACTTTTGTTATTATGGAACTTCTAAGACTTTTAAAATTATTATGTCCTTGAGTTGCAGTTTTGTATTTTTTTTTTTTTAATTTCAGAAAGAGAATTTAAATGTTATAATTCTGTCATTTAATGTCCCAACCAAGAAGCCTCTGAAATATAGGGACAAAGCTAATTGAATGACCGAACTAAAATTTTGACTCTGAGCTTCCTGGTGGCAAAGTGAAGAGGGGAGTAAGTCAGTTAGCTTTCTTATTGAAAAGAAAAACACTTATTGGTTCCTCATGGAAAGCAAAGCTTTATTAGTTCTTCCCTCTAAAAAAAAGGGCTTATGTTTGGGGGGTTGTTACCTAAGAGCAGTGGTTTTTCATTATATTGTAATTTTGTTTGGTGTTAAAGCAAATATTGAGGCATATAGAAATAGTGTTGGTAGAAAATTTTGGAAAAAGATAAGCAAAAAGAAAAATTACATTCCTAGCACCAAGAGGTAACTGCTATTAGAATTTTGATGTATATCCTTCCAGAAGTTTTCTCGTGTCCATGTTTATGTATAAAAACATGTTTATCTTCATACATGAAGGGTAGACAAACCAAGTATGGCAAGATAAGTTAGGCAAGGTGCACAGCACCATGTTGGGGAGTATTATAAACACTCAACAAGTCTTAATAGACATTTGTAGTTACTGGGCATTCACTACATGCCTGCTACTATAAGGAACACTTTTATCAGCTGTTACTCAGTGTTTGCAGCAGCCTTCTGAGGTGGGTGTTATCACCATTTTACTACCTCAGGGAGTTTAAGTAACTCAGTGTTACTCATCAAGTGACTGTATTCAGATGTAGGTTTGTTTAAAGGCCCATGTGCCTTTGCTTGTAATGGGCTACTCTGTTTCTGCAAGTATTGCCATTCCCGCTTCACAGATGAATAAACCATGGCCATGAGAAGTCAACTGTTGGCCCATATTAGTGAGTGATGTGTTGAGCAGGTGCAGTAGTGTGCACAGTAGTGTTTGCAGTAGCGTTTCTCACCTTCCCTGATGAAGGGTCTTTTCAGTTGCAAACCAACTTGCCACCTCAGCGGCAGAAGTTGAGTGTTGTTCGTGTCACCGTGAGTAAATTTGATGCATTATTTCTTGTTTTTGCAACCATCTGTCATTCCTGTGGTCTCTGCCATGTTTATATATTCCCTCTAGAACTGGTACCAGATGCTGAGGGTTTGGGCTACATCTTAATATTTGATTGATTCCCTCTTCCATCCTTGTGGATTTTTTTCTCCTCTGGGTTTATGTAAATTAGTGATCCACACGACCTGTCACTTAAACAAGAGGAAACTTTGCATTTAACTGGTGGGACACTTGTAGCAACAGGAGAACACACATCCATGAGCAAGGAGTCCCAGTGTGTGTGAGTTTTTGCAGACTCTCAAGGTCTTGATGACACCATCTCTGTGCCTTGGCTTTGAAGTACTGGAGGAGTTCAAAGGTGGGTCCATCCTGGGGAAATGACATGTCTCAGACCCGGGGCCCCTTTGGTTTGAGTGCATTTTCTAGTTCTGCAGAGCTGGAAGGATGCCATTCAGAGTCACAGCTGGCCATTTATTATTTGGTCTGTCGAGGCATTTTCTGCAGTTGCTACTACACACATCAGCAAGTCAGGAGTGAGTGGGGAGGTCAGCTACAAGCTAGATTTTAGTTGGCAGCGAGAGTCTAGGATTTGCTGCACTTGTTCACACACACACTTACTCATCATGTGCCCAAACAGACTGCAGTATCCACATACCAATGACCCACTGTTGTGTTGGCTGGAATGACAAGTCAGACTGATAGGTAGTGAAGTTTGTAGTATCATCTCTTTTGCTGAGATCCTGGTATTTGGATGGCGTGAGATCCAGAGTAGGATGAGCCATGCCACATGGGAAGCTTGTGAAGTGTATGTGCCATGTTGTTCCCCACACCTTAACCTGTGTGGGTGGGAGGCTGAGCAGCTGGAGTCCTGGGAGAGGGTCCTGTGTGGGGATGGGAGGCTGGTGCAGGGAGTCCTGACCAGAGGCAGGTGGATCCAAGGAAGGGGCTAAGCCCAGAGCAGGCTCCTAGGAGGTCTTGCAGGGGCGGGGGGTGTAGGGTCTGGGGGAGGGAAGACAGAGAGAATCTGGTTGGGGTGCGATGTGATGTGTGGGTTGGCTCAGTTGAGAGTGGCCAGGAATGGGGTAGAAATGTCCTTGAGCCCTTTCCTGTTTGAAAGATGTATTCTGCTCCCTAAGGGTTTTAGTTACACAAAGGACCATGAAATGTTTTCCTGCTTTGGAAGGAAAAAAGCCCATAGACAGATGTAAAAGGTAATTCCTCTCTTCAGGAAGAGAGTAGAGGTTGAACAGAGTGTGTTGCGGACTCAGAGATACCCAGATGTAGGTGAGGCGTTGCGTTCTTTTCTCTCTCTGACGCTGTGGTGCGGTGGAGATAACACTGGCTTCATAACTTGGGCAGAATCAGATTTGAAGCTGGCTCCAGCAGTGGTTTATCTGAACCCACTTTGCTCATCCATTAAGTGGAGACAATGAATCCCCTTCTTGGGTCGTTAGGAAGATTAAACAAGATACAGCCTGTACGGTGTCTAGCACAGCACCTGGCACAAGGGAGGTGCTTAATAAGCCTTCCCCTTGCTTGAGGTGGAGGAGCTCCTAGCGAGAGCATGGAGACCTGTCACTGGTCTGTCATCCTTCTCAGCTCCAGTGCCGCCACCAAGCGAGCAACGTTCATCATTCCAGAGTGAGTGCTGTGAAGGGAGGATATGGATCCATCACACCCCGGGCGCAGTGGGAGGTTCAGAGGAGAAATATGAGATCTGCTTTCCGTTTGCAGTCAGTTTGGGCTCATGATGGATAAGTGTGTGTGTGTGTGAACAAGTGGAGCATAACTCAGACTGCACAGCAGCGGGTGAAGGAGGAGGGGGGCAAAGCTCCTGTTAACTGAGGCTGCTGGGAAAGGGTCGTATGGGGAGGGGGTGGCCTCAGTGCAGGCCTTGGGTAGAGCAGAGGTGAGTGCAGGACAGGGGACAGGTGGGGGGGCGTTGCTGCAGCTTGGAGCCAAGCCAAGGTGTGGCCGTCAGTGTCCTGGACGTGAAGATGGTCAGGGGCAGTAGGAGATGTCGCTGGAGGGAAGAGGGAGGGAGGGGTGTCTGGTTCTGAGTGGTTTCAGTTTGGACTGGCTGGTAGTGTGGCTGGGTGAGTAGGTAAGAGACGGATATACCTGGGTTCAGATCCTTTCCTGCCATTGCTAACAGGGAGACTTTAGCCAAATTACTTCACCTCCATGATTTTGCTTGTCTTTAAGATGTGCCTGATGGTAATGTGACTTAGGAGGGTTCAATGAGTTGCTGTGTGTAAATGCCTGGCACACTGTGGGCGTGCAGGAAACAGCAGCTCTTGTTACCTAGGTGCTAATACCATACGTGTGTGCTGTATAACCTCCCTACCTTAGGAAGGGGTTTTCAGTGTCCCCTGGGCTCATCACATTGTCTAAAAGGGAGGGATATAGCGTTGTAAAGAAGATACTGTAGCCTTGAAAAGAGGATGGGATTTGGAGAAAATGAATATTTGACAATTATTTTTTATCACCCATTTGTAGAGCTAAGGCCATTTAACTTTCAGGAACACTAAACTGGAAACTATTCAGCCAATATTTATACAGATTTACTAACAGTTTACATGTTTGGGATGGTTAGTGATGCAGAGCCATAAGTTGTTGAATTTTAAGACATCCGGCAAGAGGCATAAGTCGTTCAATTTTAAGACCTCTAGCATCTCACTCTTTTACGACTTAGAAGAAGCAGACCTGCTTGTGAAAACATGCCCACCTGACCAGCAGCGTCAGTGACAGAGTCACCGGGTACAACTTGCCCGCTGTCAGGGACCACTGGGGCACCATAGATCTACCAAGAACAAGTTGATAAATTTACATTTCCTGTTACCTTCCTGATAAGGTTACTGGAATACAGGTCAGGGAATGGTGCAGATGCAGCAAGGAATCTGTCCAGTCATCTCGGGATGTCCTTGAGGACCAAAGGAAATCTGGGCTGGCACAGGTTGATTTGTAGCTGGTCATCAACTGTACCCCCAAGGGGGATTACAGTCAGCTTCGAGAATAGCTGCTCTCCTGAAGTATCACAGTTGAGTTCAGGTTGAGGGTGATCAGGCCTGTGATTGTTTATTGAACGTTTATGATGGGCTGTGTCTCCTCCAAAATGACGGCCAAAGTGCTTTGCTCAACACATAGGAGGCCCTCTCACGCTCTGTTGGGTTGACCACAAATTGAACTCATCTGGCTAGGACTGTACAAGGGAGAGGGATAAACCAGACCACTGTACCTTGGACCTACTGTACGGGTAAAAACTGGTTCAAGGAGGTTAGAGAACTTGTCCAGGGTCAAACGGTCTGTATATGAGTTTGAAGCCCATGTTCCTTTCATCCCAGCTGTTTAAGTTTAGCCTAGTCTAGATGTGGCTTAACAGTAACACAGATGTAGAGGCTTAGGGTCTTAGGAGTTTGACCATCAACATGGGATTCACCTGGTTCTTTGTGGGAAAGATGTCACACTGCTGATGGGCAGAAGCCAGGGGACAGAGAAGCTTTAGCTTGGAGACCTGGAAACAACACATTCAGGGGAAGAGGGTTCATTTATTCAGCCAGTCACTCAACCCCTCTCCTGTGCCAGGCCTGACTGGAACACTGAGGGTACAGAGGTGAAGGTCCCACAGCCTGGTGTGCAGATGGTGACAATTCATGTGAGTGGTTTCATTAAAAAGCAAGACAGATCCCACCTCTCCCTTGCCTAGAACACTCCATTGGCTCTCACTCCACCTTCCTCAGATCTGATCTTCCCAGGCTGCTTTCTCAGCATTTAGGTCTTAATTTAGAAGCAGTCCTCTCTAACCTGAATGTTAATGTAGCCTCCCTTTGCCCCATTGCTGGATCTCTTCCCACCGACTTTAATTTTATTCAGCGTGCTTATCATGGGAAGCTACTCCTGTTTGCTTCCTTTGTGGCTGTCTCCCCAGGTAAACTGCCAGATGTTCTAGCAATTTTGCCTGACATGTTCATTGCCGTACCCCACATCTCCAGCACCGTGCCTGGTAGTACTCAGCAGGTGTTCAATAAATAGCCATTAAGTAAACGAATGCACGAGAAAGGAGTTACCAATCTGGGCAGAATGACAAGCAGGCGGTTAGTCCTTGCTTGGTGGGGAGGAGGCAAGAAGGTGGGATCTCAGCATGGTAGGTGCTGTAATCCCCAGTTCACAGGGTGGGAAGCAGGTTGTGTTTCCTTGCTCCAGTGACTCAGCTGTGAGGCAGAGAAGCAGGATCTATACATTTGTGTGCAGCTTCAAAGCCCAGGTCTTCCAGGAGGTCAATTTTCTTGATCCTGGCTATATACTGGAACCACCTGATGTTCATTCTCCATGCCAAGCAAGCTCCCCAGGGGATTCTAACAGGATGGAGAACCACCATCCTAGGCCCTGGTGCTTCTCTGATCTGTGGAAAGGTGAGTGTTGTCACAGAAATGGCACAACAGTGCCTGGGAGTGGAGGGAGAAGGCTTCCTGAAGAAGGCACTGGGGTTTGTCTTAGAAGGGTGGGTAGGAATCTGCTGGGCAGCTCTTGGAGAAGGTTTGAGGCAGAGGGGCTGGTGTCTGCAAAGGCGTGGAGACATGCACCATCCTGGTCTGGTGTGGACAAGGAGCAGGGCAGCGGGGCAGGCAGGGTGAGGATGGACTCCTTGAACAGTCTTGCACTGAGGAGAGTGTTGACTGACATATTTGGACTCTTCTACCTTGTCTGTCATGGTCTAATGCATGTCTTTTCTGGGTGTGGTTTCTTTTCTTTTTTTTTTTTTTTTCTTTTTTCGAGACTGAGTCTCACCCAGGCTGGAGTGCAGTGGCGTGATCTTGGCTCACTGCAACCTCCACCTCCCGGGTTCAAGCGATTCTCCTGCCTCAGCCTCCCGAGTAGCTGGGACCACAGGTGTGTGCCAATACACCCAGCTAATTTGTGTATTTTTTAGTAGAGATGAGGTTTCAGCATGTTGGCCAGGCTGGTCTCAAACTCCTGACCTCAGATGATCTGCCTGCCTTGGCCTCCCACGTGCTGGGATTACAGGCGTGAGCCACGCGCCCAGCAGGATGTGGTTTCTTGAGGATCCTTTCAGGGCTTTGGCCTCTCCCAGCTCCTATCCCACTACTATTAGGGTCACAGAGGAGGAGGTCAAGACTGGGATTTACCCATGAAGGCTCTTTGGATGAAATCAGCTGGATATTGGCTGGGTCACTTTGTTAAAGACCAGAACCTGGGGTGGGAAGCCTGTGCCTGTTTGGATGTCAGAGCCCACAGCCATGGGCCCCTGGCCCAGCTTCCTAACCAGTTTGGCCCTATTTGCCTTGGAAGCACTTGGGCTGTGGGGTCAAATGGTCCCACGCGCTGATCTTGGCCTTGGCGCTTGCTGGCTGCATGAACATGAGTACATCTTGTCACCTGTCCCAGTTTCAGTCTCTCTATTCTGGGCAGAAGGATTTTCTCACCAACAAGGACTAAGTACCCTCCTGTAGGCTCAGGACTAGGGCAGAGCTTGTACACGATAGAGGAGATGCTCGATCGGGTTCTCTCTCCAAGTCCTGCTTCTCATGGATTTAAGGGGCTGTGGAGGGCCTGACTGCTGTGCTGAGTTAGGCCCGGGGCCTGCCAGTGGAGTTCTAAGGCCTTTAAAGAGTTTGAGTTGTGTTTTAGGAAGACCACCTGGGGCAGTGTGGAAATGTCATGATTGAGGGAGAGAGTTTCTTGAAGCAACTCCGTCTAGTGCAGAGCTTCTCAAGCTAGGGTGCATCTAAGTATCTGGAGGAGCTGTTAAAGCACGTGTTGCTAGATCCCACTCTGAGAGTTTTATTTTTGTTTGTTTGTTTTTTGAGACAGAGTCTTGCTCTTGTTGCTTAGGCAGGAGTGCAATCGTGCGATCTCGGTTCACTGCAACCTCAGCCTTCCTGGGTTCAAGCAATTCTCCTGCTTCAGCCTCCCCAGTAGCTGGGATTACAGGTGCCTGCCACCATGTCCGGCTAATTTTTATTTTTTCTTTTTGTATTTTTAGTAGAGATGGGGTTTCACCATGTTGGCCAGGCTGGTCTCATACTCCTGGCCTCGTGATCTGCCCACCTCGGCCTCCCAAAGTGCTGGGATTACAGGTGTGAGCCCAGCTGAGAGTTTGATTTTCTAACATTCTCAGGGGTCGCTGTTGCTGCTGCCGCTAATGTTGGTAAAGTGGTTAGTCAGATAGATACAGGGCCCTTGCCCAGGGTTTAAACCCTTGCTGGGTTTCAACTTTAGATCTTCTACTTGTAGCTAGCTATGTGGCCTTGGCCAGGTCCTCTAACCTGTGTGAGCCTTAGTTTCCTCATCTGTAAATTGGAATGCTACCTACTTCCTAGGATGTTGTAAGAATCCCATGATTTAACGTGTATAATCCCTCAGCACAGTGCCTGTGGTCAGCATTTAATAGAGGATCGTTTTATTATTTTATTAATACCAGTGAGGAGGCTGTTGCTGAAGTCCAAGGGAGAGATGAAAGAGAGGCTGAACGAGGCTCGTGGCTGAGGGATGGAGGGCATCTGTTTTCTCAGTGGCTCAAAGCCTATGATCCTCCCTCATAGGAGAACACGTTGCTTCCTTCCACAGCGGGAACTTGCTGAAAACCTGTCGGCTGGTGCCTGTGTGTCCTCTAGAGGGCAGTGGAGTCAAGGCTGAGGATGGAGCATTGTGTGCCCTCGGTTGGGGCTGGTCTGTGCGTTCAGCCTTTATTCCCTGTTCTGAAACCCAATTGTGTATTTGCATTGGACTGTCCCCTCCTCCTTGCTCTGTGTACTTGCTGACGCTTTTTGGAAAACACATCACAGGGCACCTCTGATTTCCTGCTTGTCTTGTAGCCTGGGATTAGCAGTAGCTGAAGCGTGCTGCTTTCTGGCAGTTGTGTTTATTTCTCAAGGGCACAGGCTGTACAGATCATGGGGGCCTGCTCCCTGCAGCTCAGCTGAGCCTAGGATGAACCACAGTTGCTCTTATGCCAGTTAAAAACTTGGGGCCTGTTCCATCTTGCATTTCCTCCCCCGCTTCCCAGTCCTCGCCCGCACCCTTTGATCCTGTGAGTGGAGAAATGAAGAGAACTCCAAATCCTTAATCCATTTTGAAGGCCGGCTGGCAGCAGGGCTTTCTGTGGGCCTGGTAAGCAGCCCTAGTTGAATCATTTTAGAGAAGGGCAGGTATTCTTTCAAGGTTATAGAAAGAAAGAAAAAAAAAAAAAACCAGAAGCACATTTATAATATTGGACAGTATACCTTGTCCCAAGCCCTGTACATTTGCTTTATTCCATAATAATAATAAAAGGTACTAGTGACAGCAGCGTCCGCTCACTGATTGTGTGGTAGGAGCCAGGTACTATGCTAAGTGATTTTCATGTGTTAACTCTTCTAAGCCCGGTAACTGCCCGTGAGATTATTAATCCTGCAGAAACTGAGGCTCAGGGAGGTCCCAGTAACACACATCGGGCCAAAGAATGGTGCTATTAGAAATTCAGACCAGTGTGTCTGACTCCAGTTTGCTAAAAACCTGCCTGCTGTCCAAGCTCCAGAATCACTGGGCATGGTCGATTCCATTTTTAGCCCAGCTCTTTCCAAAAGACATTAGGCATTAGACAGGAGAAGGCCATGGTTTTTACAAAGCAGTCTGTTTAGTATTCATGATCCTATAGCATAAGATTCAGTTAAGAGCAGGGATTCAGAGCCAGATTGCCTGGGTTCAAGTCCTGGCTCTGCCACTTACCATCTTTGCAACCTTGGGCAAATTCTTTGATGTCTGAGCCTTAGTTTTTTCATTTGTAAAATGGGGGATAATGGTAGCCACCTCATTGGTTTTCTCTGAGGGTTAAATGAGTTAATATATGTAAAGTGCTTAGATTAGTGCTGGGCACTAAGTAATACCTCAGTAGATGGTAGCTATTGTCATCATCATCATTATTCTTAACCATTATGCTGTATTCACCCATATATTCTCAGTGCCTGACTTATATTAGGGGTTGGTGAATATTGAATAAAATGATCCTTTGGATTCAGATTTTTTTTTTTTTTTTTGAGTTGGCGGGTGCCAGGAGCTAGCTTGATATAAAAATGAATCAATGTTAGACCCTTTCCTCAGGACTTCTCAGTCTGGTTGGAGAGGCCAGGCATGTGTGTGAATTACTGTAAAAGGCAGAAACATACCATGGAGGTCCTGATGTGGGTGAAAGCACTTTTGGACTGGGGTGCAGGCCATGGGCCAGCTTCAGAGGAGGTGGCTTTGGAATTAGGCCTTGAAAGGTGGAAGGAGGAGGAGGGGAAGAGTGGGTTAGACTAGAGAATTCAGGCTTCTCTTGGGCCTCATATACCAATAAGTTCACAAATGAACATTGAGTCAGATTGGGTTTTTATTCATTCAGCAAATATTCATCGAGGATGGTTGGAATCAGGCACTGAGACATCGTGATGGCTTTGAACTAGGCCCTGCCCTCAAGTGCCCTGGGTCTAATGGGACAACAGCCAAGGAAACAAGTGATGGTTATTCAGTGTGATGAGGGGCAGTATTGACTTGGAGCCTCTCAGATGTGGGTGAGAGGCACCCGAGTCAGACTGGTTTAAGCAGAAAGGAAATTCACACTGGCTCATTTACCTGGAATATATTCAAGTGTGGCTGGATTCGGGGGTCTCAAAATATGTCTTTAGGAAACTGCTTGCCTCTTTCCCCTGCTTTTCTCTGTGTTGGCTTCACTCTTTGGCAGATTGTCCCTTTGCAGTGTCACAGGTGGCCTCCGGCAGCTCCTGGCTTCCAAGTCACCAGCTCAGGGAACCCCAGCAGAAGGAGGATGCCTCTTGATCAGTAGTTTCCTCTGGAGTTGTGGAATTGAATATCACAGGACACTGTCAGTCATATGCATCCACCATGGCTGCAGGGATTGCCTGCCCACCCCTGCGAGGAGTACAGAGATACAGGGCATATTAGTTTTGCCCAAATCACATGAGCTGAGGTGGGTGGTGGGGGGAGGGAACTGTTATTTCACAAAGAAAATTCAGATGCTGTCACCAGGCAAAACCCACAGATGTCCACTACAGCTACCACCATGGAACAGAATAATTCACCCATTAAGCACCTGGCTTGGGACTCCAGTTCCCAGGGATGGAATCCCAGCTCCACCATTTACAAGTTGTGTGACTGTGGCTGGGTCACTTCACCTGTCAGCCTGAGTCTCAGTGTCCCATCTGCACAATAGGAGTGATGGCCCACACTGCCAGCTTGAATCAACGTGAAAGCACCTTGCAAAGAGTCCAGGCAGGCTCAGGCAGGCGGCACTGCAGTTTGGGGTGGCATGAACTATGATGTCTCTGGCATGTTATCCGACCAGTTCCAGGGCAGCTGTCTGCAGAAAGCAGCCGGTCGTAGCACAAAGAGTCAGGCTGTCCTGGGTTCAAAGCCTGAACCTCCCACTTACAAGCTACATGTTCCTTCATGATAATCACCTTTCCTGCCTCCCAGGGTTGTTGGAAGTGTCAAGGGGACATGTAGACAGCCTGGCACACTTTGTTCTGGGAGTGGTGATAGCTGTGTTCATAGTACAATTGCTACTCCACAGCATGCCAGGAGTCCAGGTGTGAATCTAACGGGACAGACCCCATACTCTGTGAACAAAAGCCCATCTTTCTGGATAAAGGGTACATTTGGCCAGCAGCCAAGGGCCCTGGGAAGGCTTTGTGCAGCCCGGCCCTTCCCTCCTTCCATTCAGCGAGAGGTGGGTACAGCCTCACGGAGGTTCATGTTTCACTATTAATTACCCCCCAGGCTCTTTTATCAGCCTGTCTCTCATTCCCACCACAAGGCTGTCAGCCAGACAGTTGGAACAGAATCTCATTTGGAGTGTGTTTGCTCTTCTCCCCCATTGCTGGCAGAGATCTGGGATCAGCTCTGCATTAGGACAAGTTGTAAGTAAACACACATTTGCTCAAATGTGGCCCTCGTCCCATTCTGTAGCCTTATCTTAGATTTGGGCAGCTTCAAATCAGGGAGCCAGTGTATTTGGAAAATACCTAAAAGTGGTTTAATTCAACCTACCCACTTTACAGAAGAGTAAATGGAAAATTGGAGGTTAGGTCGCTCATGTTTATATGAACTATTGAGGATACAGATAGAGCTGGAAATCAGGTCTTCCAACTGTTAGTCCAAAACTTTTCCCACAAAAACCTGGCGCTTCCCTCCAGTAGCACATATTGAACATCTACTAGTATATTCCAGGCCCTCTTCTAGGCCCTATAAAAACAGAGTTGAATAAGAAATAATCTCTGCCCTTGAAATGCCTAGGAACTTTCCATTCATTCATCCATCCCTTTGTACGTTCATGTTTCTGTCCATGCAATCACTGATCTGGTGTTTGTCTTATCTGTTCATCTCACTACCCATCCATCCCCCCATTCGTCCTTTATCTACTCATTTTTCCATTTGTCTCCTCTCTCCATCCATCCATGAGTACATCTGTTTATCTCTTTATCCATTCATCCAGCCATCAGTGTGTCTATAAGGCCCAAGTCCTAGGCTGTGCTGGGATGGAGATAAGTAAGAAACAATCTTTGCTGTTTAGGCTTTTACATCCAGTGCAGACAGACACAGAAACCTGCCTCAAAGGATGTATAAAAGGCTCTCGTACACAAGAAAGGACTTGCAATTCTGCCTCGTATTTCTGTGAAGGCTTCATTCTAAGGGTTGAAATAGTGCTGCATCTGGATAGGAGTTTCCCAGTGGGGAAGATGGGGAAGAACCTAGGCTGAGGGAACAACAGGAGCAGGGGCGTGAGGCTGTCCGGTGGGTGTAGGAGGAAGAGGAGTTTCGTGTCATTTGATGACTCCTTCAAGGAGCAAACTGGCCAGTTATAGTCAAGAGGGGTTGTCAAAGCCTATTTGGAGAGGACCTTGAATCCCAGAGCCAGAATGCCACCCTATGCGCGTTTGGGAGGCACTGTAAGATTTTCAGCAGGAAGTGACATAGGTAGGTGAGCATTTCAGAGAGACCACTCCAGGCAGTAGGATTAGAGGCAGAGGGACTCAAGTGTGAGGAGTGTTTAGAGCCTGTTCTGACAGCCTTAGGACAGTTGACATCCTGCCTGAATCAAGGTGTCCATAGCAGAGATGGGGCCTGCAGGGTGGGGTTTGAGCGACATGTGGAGAAAGTAGAACTTGAATGGTGATGTCAGAGATGTCTGACTGGGGCCGGAGGGGTGGAGGGAGGGGGTATAGATGACAATGCCATTTGCTTAGCTAAAGACCACAGGAGAAAGGGTTGTGGGGGATGCTGCAACAGTAATGCATTCAGTTTTAGACGAGCTGCATTCGAGGTGTCTGTGGGATAGCTGGGGAGACGTTGAGGATGCAGTTAATTATAGGATCTGGAGCTTGTGAGAGATGGGGCTGGGGGGAGCCAGTGAGACATCTGGAGTGTGGAGAGTGCTGACTGCGCGCAGAGCAGCAGAGGCAAAGCCGGAGTGGAGGCCTGGCATGGACCTTCTTATTAAAGGCATGGACCTTCTGGACTGCAGCAGGCTGTCCCAGAGAGGGAGGAGAGCGAGGAGTGTGTGAATTTTGCTAATTGTACTGTGGTTATGTACACTGTTGGCATTAGGGGGATCTGAGGGAAGGGTGTTTGGAAATAATGTGTGTTGTCTTTGCAACACTTCTGTAAGTGTAAGATAATTTCAAACCAGAAGTAGATTGTACTGGGTGCAGCAGTGCCTGCTTTACTCCTGTGTTATGTTTTTAAATGCCTTTTTTGATTTACATATTGACATGCAATAAATTACACATGTTGAAAGTGTGTGATAAGCATACGATAGTTTGATAAGTTTTGACATACATATTCTCTCATGAAACCCATCACTGCAGTCAGGGTAGTGAATACACCTGTCACTTACAGACAGTTCCTCATATCTCCTTGTCATTTCTCTCTGTGCCTGCACCTCTCCCTGCAATAGACAACTGCTGATCTGCTTTGCGTTACTGTGGTTAGTTTGTCTAGAGTTTTGTATAAATGGAATCATACAGCATGTACTCTTTTTAAAATTATTACTTAAAAAATTGAGGTAAATTATATATTTAATTTACCATCTTTACCATTTTAAAGTGTCTAGTTCAGTGGTAATAAATAGATTTATAAGGTCGGGCACGATGGCTCATGCCTGTAATCCCAGCACTTTGGGAGGCCGAGGGGGGCAGATCACCTGAGATCAGGAGTTCGAGACCAGCCTGGCCAACACGGTGAAACCCTGTCTCTATTAAAAATACAAAAATTAGCCAGGCGGCATGGTGGAGCATGCCTGTAGTCCCAGCTACTCAAGAGGCTGAGGCAGGAGAATCGCTTGAACCCAGGAAGTGGAGGTTGCAGTGAGGCAACATTGCACTACCGCACTCCAGCCTGGGTAACAGACCGAGGCTCCATCTCAAAAAAAATTTTTTTTAATTATAAAAATAAAATAAATACATTTATATGTATATTTTCTCCCATCATCACCTCTCTTCCTTCCCCTTCCCAGCCTCTGGTAACAACCAGTCTACTCTCTATCTTCATGAGATCCACCTTTTTAGCTCCTGCATATGAGTGAGAACATGCAATATTTATCTGTTTATGCTTGGCTTATTTCACTTAACATAATGACCTCTAATTTCATTTATGTTGCTGCAAATGATAGGATTTCATTCTTTTTTATGGCTGAATAATACTCCATAGTGTATTTTTGGTGGAATCTTTAAATTTTTTTCTAGGTATAAGATCATGTCCTTTGCAAACAAGGGTAATTTGACATCTTCCTTTCAGATTTGGATGCCTTTTACTTCTTTTTCTTGCCTAATTTCTCTGACTCAGCATGTACTCTTCTGTCTTGCTCCATTTAGTCAGCATAATTATTTTGAGATTCATCCATTTTGTTTCTTGCAAAAATAGTTCATTTTTATTTCCGCAGAGTATTCCATTGAATGGATATATCACAATTTGTTTATCCATTTAGCTGTTGGTGGCCATTTGTTTCCAATATGGGGCAGTTACAAACAGCTTCTATGAACATTTGTGTACAAGTCTTTGTACGGATATATATTTCCTCTTCTCCTGGGCAGACACCTAGGAGTGTGATGGCTGCATCATATGGTAAGTGTATGTTTAACTTTACCACCACGAGAGTGCCATTTCCCCCACACCTTCGCCAACACTTGTTATAGCCAGTCTTTTTATTGAAGCCATCCTAATGGGCATGTAATGGTATCTCACTGTGGTTTTAATTTGCATTTTTCTAATGACTTACATTGTAGAGCATTTCTTCATGTGCTTATTTGCCATCTGTATGTCTTTGGTGAAATGCCTATTAAAATATTTTGACCGTTTTTTAAAATTAGCTTGCTTGTTTTCTTATTGTTGAGTTTTGAAAGTTCTTTGTTTATTCTGAATATAAATGTTTAATCAGATATATTCTTCACGAATATTTTCTCCCTGTCTGTGGCTTGTCATTTTATTTTTTAAAGTGTCTTTCAAAGTGCAGAAGTATGTAATTTTGATGAAGTCCAATTTATTTATTGAGATCCAGAATACATAAGGAACTCATGTACAAGAACTTTGTTCTTTTATGGATCATGCTTTTGGTGTCAGATATTAAAAAATCTTTGATATGATATTCAAGGCCAAATATTTTTTTCTGTGTTTTCTTCTAGAAATTTTATAGTTTTAGGCTTTACATTTAGGTCTATGATCCATTTTTTAGTTAATTTTTTATAGATGATTACAAGTATGTATCCAAGTTTGTCTTTGTGCATATGGATATCCGGTTGTCCTAACACCATTTGTTAAGAAGGCTGCCTTTTGTCTACTGCATTTCCTTTGCAGTTTTGTCAAAAATTCGAATATGTATGGGTTTATTTGTTGACGCTTCCTTCTGTTTCACTGATCTGTGTGGCTATTTTGATGCCGATACCATGCTGCCTTGATTAATGTAACTTTATGATTCTTGAAATCTGGTAGTCCTAACCCTTCAACTTTGTTTTTTCAGAGGGGTGTGTGTGTACGTGTGTGTGTGTGTGTGTGTGTGTGTGAGAGAGTTCTAGCTTCTTTGCATCTCCCTATGACCTTTATAATTAGCTTGTCAATTTGTAAGAACAGCTTCCTGATACTTTAACTGGGGTTATGTTGAATATATGCAACAATTTGGGGAGAATTGATATGTTAATAATATTGACTCTTCTTTTAAAAATTGATTTATAGTATTTGTACATATTTATGGGGTTCATGTGATATTTTTGATAGGGCCAGGAGGCAGAGAAATTCCAGGCAGAAAAGGGCAGGGTCCCTGGCAAGGGCCCCACCCTCAAGCCTGACCCAAAGTGAGAACTTTACATCCCCGTTTTCCTGCTTGAATGTTGCCTTTTCCAAAACCACCCCTGGCCCACCCTGCACCCCCATCCCCTATCCATAAAAACCCCAGGCTTCACTGGCAGAGGGCAGAGAAAGGGAGAAGAGAAGAAGCAGCTGAACATCAGAGAGAAGCAGTTTGACTTCAGAGGAATGGCTTGATGGTGGGACTTTGGAGAAAAACACCTTCCTGCTCCATCCCCTTTCTAGCTCTCCTTCCCACTGAGAGCCACTTCCATGGGCAATAAAATCCTCCATATTTACCACCCTTCAATTTGTTCGTGCAACCTGATTATTCCTGGATGCTGAATAACAGCTCAGGAGCTACGGGTGTGAACACTAAAGGCTGTCACACTGACCCTCTGCCCTCACTGGTGGAGAGCAACCACTTCACGTGAAAAGGCAGAGGGCCCACTGAGCTGTTCAACACTTAAGCTGTCTGTGGATGGCAAAGCTAAAAGAGCACACTGTAACACACGCCCTCTGGAGCTTCAGGGATCACAAGTACTCCCCACTTGATGCTGCCTTGGGCCTGCACGGTGTTTTGCTCCTGCTGGCACCCAGAAGCACTCACCTTGGCTCGGCTCCTGTACCTCATCACCTGCGTGCTGCCCCTCCCATGAGGGGTTGAGAGCTGCAGGCTAAGTGAGCACCCTTGTCATGAGGCCTGCAGAGGGTTTAGGGAAAATTTCCTGTTTCATTTTGTTATATGCATAGACTGTTTAATGATCAAACGAGGGTGTTTGGGGTATCCATCCCCTCAAGTATTTATCATATCTATATCTTGGGAACATTTCAAGTCCTCTCTTCAAGCTATTTTGAAATATAAAACACATTGGTAACTGTAGTCACCCTACTCTGCTATAAAACATTAGAACTTCTTCCTTCTATAAAACTATATGTTTGTAACCATTAACCAACCTCTCTTTATCCCCCTGCACCACACTTACCCATCCAAGTCTCTAGTGTCTATCATTCTGTTCTCTACCTCCACGAGATTAACTTTTTTAGCTCTTACATTTGAATGAGAATATGGGATATTTGTCTTTCTATGCCTGGCTTATTTTACTTAACATAATGACCTGCAGTTCTATCCATGTTGCTGCAAATGATATGATTTCATTTTTTTGACCAAATAGTATTCCACTGTGCATATATACCACATTTTCTTTATTCATTTGTCCACTGATGGATACTTAGGTTGATTCTATATCTTTGCTATTGTAAATAGTGCTTCACTAAGCGTGGAGTTCAGGTATCCTTTTGATACACTGATTTCTTTTCCTTTGGATAAATACCCAGTAGTGAGATTGCTAGACTGTATGGCATTTCTGTTTTTAGTTTTTTGAGAAATCCCCATACACTTTTCCATAGTGGCTGCTCTATTTTGTGTACCCACCAACTGTATAAAAGTTCCCTTTTCTCTACATCCTCACTGTCATCTGTTACTTTTTGTCATTTAGTAATAGCCATTCTAACTGGGCTAGGAGAATATCTCATTGTGATTTTGATTTGCATTTCCCTAATGATTAGTGATGCTGAGTGTTCTTTAATATACCTGTTGACCATTTGTAAATGTCTATTCATGTCCTTTGTCCACTTGTTAATGGGACTTTTTATTTTTTTTACTGTTGTTTGAGTTCCTTGTACATTCTGGATATTCATCTCTTGTCAGATGGACAGTTTGCATATATTTTAATCCCATTCTGTGGGTTGTCTTTTCACTTTGTCGGTTGTTTTCTGTGCAGAAGCTTTTTAGTTTAATATAGTCCCACTTGTCTATTTTTATTTTTGTTGCCTGTGCTTTTGAGGTCTTAGCCACAAAAATCTCTGTCTAGACCAATATCCTGAAGTGTTTCCCCTGTATGTTTTCTTCTAGTAGTTTTATAGTTTTAGGTCTTATGTTTAAATCTTTAATCCATCTTGAGCTGATTTTTGTATATGGTGAGAGATGGGGTCCAGTTTCATTCTTCTGCATATGGATATCTAATTTTCCCAGCACCAGTTATTGAATAGGGTGTCCTTTCCTCAGTGTATTTTCTTGGCATCTTTGTCAAAAATCAGTTGGCTGTAAATACGTGGATTTATTTCTGGGTTCTCTATCCTGTGATAATTCTTAACCAATAACAAGGTATATCTCCAGGTTTACGGTTGTCTTTTTTAATACTTTAAATATATTGCTACATTGTTTGTCTTCTTGCTTGCATTGTTTCTGATGAAAAATTTGTGTTATCTTCATCTTTATCCCTCTATATGTGACATTTTCCCCTCTATTTTAAGATTTTCTTTATTACTGGTTTTGAACAATTTTATTATGATGTGTCTTGGTGTAGTTTTATTGATGTTTCTTGTTCTTGGAGTTTATTGAGCTTCTTGGATCTGTGGGTTTGTGGTTTTCATCAAATCTAGAAAATTTAGGATGTTATTTCTTCAAATATTTTTCTGTGTATTCTTTTCTTCAGGAACTTCAGTTGCATGTATATTAGGTTGTTTGAAGTTGTTCCATGGTTTACTGGCATTCCTTTCATTTTTTAAGCCATTTTTCCTTTGTGTGATTTATTTTGGATAGTTTCTATTGCTGTGTCTTTAAGTTCACTAATATTTTCTCCTGCAATGACTAATCTGCTGTTAATCCCATATAGTATATTTTCCATTTCAAACATTGCAGTTTTCATCTCTAAAAATTCAATTTCGGTCTATAAAAATATACCTTCCATGTGTCTGGTTAACTTTTTAAAAATATGGAATATTTTCAAAATATTATAATATAATACAATATGCTAAAATATAGTAACATAATGTCCTTCTTTGCTCGTTCTGATATTCATGTTAGTTCTAGATTGGTTATGATTGATTTTGTGCCTTATTATGGGTTATGTTTTCCTGCTCTTTTTTATGCCTATTAGTCTCTTATTGGATGTCATGCATTGTGAATTTTACCTTGTGTTGCTAGCTATTTTAGTATTCCTAAAAATGTTCCTTAGCTTTGTTTTAAAAAGCAGTTAAATCATTTGAAAACAGTTTATTTTTTTGTCTTGCTTTGAAGATGAGTTGTACAAGACCATAGCTGTATGTGGTGTTGGGCTGGTTATCCCTCACTATGAAGGCAAGCCTCTGAGTACTCTACTGAATGCCCTGTGGAGCTTGGGGCTTTACAATCTGGCTGGTAGGAACAGGCGCTATTCCTGGCCCTCAGAACCTGAAGCTGTTCCCTCAGATGCCCTTGAATGTTTTTTTCCCCTGGCCTTGGATAATGCATGTACTGCTCAGTGCTTTGCTACATACTCTGGGGGACTCGTCAGGTAGCTCCAGAGTTCTCTGTGTAGCTGTATACTCTTTAGAATCTGCCCTGCACACTGCAGACACCTAAGTATCTACAGACTTCTGTCTCCCAACTCAAATTTTGCAGACCTCTGCCTTGCTTCTCTCCCTCCCTGCCCTACAGCCTGGACACTCCAGGCAGCGAGGCAGGGCAGCTGTAGGCTCACTTTGTTTGTTTTCTGTCTCACAGGGATTATTGTCATTTGTTGCCTGATGACCACTGGCCTGAAAACTGTTGTTTCATGTATTTTTTTTTCTGGCTTTTTGGTTGTGTCAGGTAAGAGTAAATCCATACCCTGTGACACCATCTTGCTAGAAGTAGAAGTGTTACCTTTTTAATATATTATTTTTCCTTCAAAACCCACATTAGAAGGAACTTTGTAACAACAACCGACAGCTTGACAAAGTGTGTTCCCATTGTCCTGTGATTGCTCTGCTTTTCAAAGTAAGCCTGCGAGGTGGGTGTCATGTCATCCCCATTTTACAGATAAGGGGACAGAACCTCAGAGAGGTGAAGAGACTTGTTCAAGGTCACACGGTCTATAACGGCAGAGCCAGGATTGAACCCAAGTCCCCATTATACTTGTAGTTCCCACAGGGGAGACAGAACCACATGAAGGGTTGGCATCACTATATTTTTTTTTGGGAGAGGTCAATAAAGGTGGGCTCAGAGAGTAATATATCAAGGCCTACGGGGCTAATGAGCCCAGGAGTTTGTGGAGAGTCAGAGATCTCCATGAGTTGTTTTCCTAATGCCCCTTCCCACACCCAACCCCTTCAGATAAAGGAGTGTGCCTTCTACCTCATGCATCCATCCAGACAGGAGAATTGGGCTTTTTGCCAGGGCTGTAGACCTGGAGGTCTGGAACTTGGCCTGGCTTTGTGGGCTTTCATGGAAAGTGGAGAAGAGGGATTAGGGAAGAGGTAATGGATAAGAAGTACTGGTTGCTCAGGTTGGGGTGGTCAGGGAGGTGAGGGGAGGGAGAAGGGAGTACCAGAAGGCCAGTGGGTAGGCTTGCAGGAGCTGTGGGTGGATGGCGTGGCCCCAGGGGACAGGAGCTAGGTCCAGCCGGCTCCCACTGTCTTCTGGCTTGTAGGATTATCTCTGCTCCTCCCCCTTTCTCTGAGTGAGAAAGGTGGGAAATAAAATAATGAAGCCGTGAGTAGGTGAGGTGTTAGGGAGACAGCTTGCCAGGGTGGGCAGCACAGATGACTGGTGGGTGGGGAGGGAGGTGGTGGGAGGTTAATGTGCAGATCCTCAGATCTCCGAGAAACAGGGTGGAAGGGAGTCAGTCCGGTGTGCAGAGTTGCAGGTGGGGGCAATAGTGGGTGATACCCAAGGCACAGGTGGTTTCCTGGGAAGAAGGTGATGTGGTCTTTTCTTGGCTATGGAGGAGATTTTGAAATGTACTTGGGTAATTTGTTTTTAGTCAAATTTCCTTCTGACTGGGTTATTTAAAGCGTAGAATGGAATGGAACATAATAGCTACCATTTATTAAGTATCTACCGTATGCTTGGAATGCATTTCACGTGCATCAACCCACTTCATATCACATTTACCCTGTGAGGTAGGTTCTGTTACTAATTCCATTTACAGGCGAGGAGTCTGTGTCTCAGGGATATGGTGGCTAGTTCAAGCCCCCGCTGCATTTTATTTATTTGAGATGAGAAAGATGTTCATGGGGGAGTCAGAGCCTGCTTCGATAGAAATCATCCAGTAGTTTTTATTGTTTTGTTTCTTCCCAGGGCCTGCTCTTCCACTTGGCAAATTCGGAGCGCTGGAAGGTGGGGTGGGATGGGGACTTGGGAAAGAAAATAAGGATTAAAGACACAGTGGATGCCCAAGAGAAAAGAAAACTTAATTGTACATTTTCGTAATAACCCTGTTTGATAACCATTGAGAGAACTCCAAATGTTTTGTCCACCTAAGAGCAACCCTCTGTCTTCAGGGAGACAGGAGCTGCATCCCCAGCACTGCCTCCCTGCCTGGGGGCGGGCATTTGACCCTAGCTGTGCCAATCATAGCATTCCACCTCCACAGCAATAGTAATTGGTCCAGGCATGAGCACATGACTCAAACCAGGCCAATCACATCCTTTTCTGAGATTTTTTATTTAAAATTGGAGCTCGTAACCTTACTTACCCCTCTAGCAAAGGGTAATGGTAGGTCTTCCCAGATCATCTGGCAAACACATTCTTAACCTTGTGGAGACACTGACTGGAACAAATTAAACATATGCCAATAAAGTAAAGAAAAGATGGGCAGTTTCTCTTTCTCCCTTCCAAAAGCCCTGATTTCTGTTTAGAGAGCTATGTAGTCCTAGAAACATTGACTCTCCCTGTCCCTGTGACCCCAGAGTGGACCACTTGGCCTGGGCTGGGCACTCAGCACATTCCATTTCCCCACTGCAGAAACTGCCCAAGATGGGCAGTTATCAAGGCTAGTCCAATCAGAGTGAATTAAAGACTTGTACTGAATGCTGAAGTGCAGTGTCTCTTTCCTGTTGGATGAGAACCAACCAGGAAGCATGCAACTACCCTGTGAGCTTCCATTTTGGGACCAGCAGGCAAGCCAGTCTTGGAATAAGTTTGATCCTTTTTTTTTTTTTAATGTATGTATGTATGTATTTTTTGAGATGGAGTTTCACTCTGTCACCCAGGCTGTAGGGCAATGGTGAGATCTTGGCTCACTGCAACCTCTGCCACCTGGGTTCAAGCTATTCTCCTGCCTCAGCCTCCCGAGTAGCTGGGATTACAGGCTCCCGCCACCACTCCTGGCTAATTTTTGTATTTTTAGTGGAGATGGGGTTTTGCCATGTTGGGCAGGCTGGTCTTGAACTCCTGACCTCACATGATCCACTCGCCTTGGCCTCCCAAAGTGATTACAGGCGTGAGCCACCTTCGCCTGGCCTGAGATTGATTTTTTTTTTTTTTTTTTTGAGATGGAGTCTCGCTCTATCGCCCAGGCAGGAGTGCAGTGGTGCAATCTCAACTCACTGCAACCTCCGCCTTTGGGGTTCAAGTGATTCTTCTGCCTCAGCCTCCTGAGTAGCTGGGACTACAGGCACGCACCACCATGCCCGGCTAATTTTTGTATTTTTAGTAGAGATAGAGTTTCACCCTATTGGCCAGGCTGGTCTCGAATTCCTGACCTCCAGTGATCCGCCTGCTTTGGCCTCCCAAAGTGCTGGGATTACAGGCATGAGCCACTGCACCCAGCCGAGAATGATTCTTAAGAAGAGAGACAAGCAGAGATTCTGGGTCTAGCTAGTTGACCACTTCTTCCCTGAAGCCCATCCTATCTCTGGCTCCTCCTGATACGGAAGTCATAAATCCCCTCTATGGTCTAAAATACAACCACAAGCCTCTCAGCTGACAAGTTAGTCTTGATGCTATTTGAATTCTGGTTCCAGTCAGCTGAAAAGCCAGGTCAATGGGATTTTCCCTCACCAGTGATTTGTTATATGAGTGATTACACTCTTGTTTTTTCTTAAAAAATATATTTTTTAAATTTTAATGAAAACTTAGAGACATATACAAAAGTAGAATAATATCAGGTTGGTGCAAAAGCAGTTGTGGTTTTTGCCATTACTTTCAATCTATCAACTAATGGTAATGATCCTGATTTGAATCTAATTCAGACATCCAATTAGAAACTTGACGCCGGGCATAGTGGCTCATACCTGTAATCCCAGCACTTTGGGAGGCTGAGTTTTGCCATTACTGTCAATGGCAAAAACCACAACTACTTTTGCACCAATGTAATATAAGGCACTTGTTCTCAACCAGGGTTGAGGGTGTCAAAGGGGGCAAAAATTAGTTCTTGTGGAGGGAGTGAATAAATCTTAGGCAAATCTCTAAATAAGATTCTTTTAAGGCCAGGCTTGGTGGCTCACACCTGTAATCCTAGCACTGGTAGGCCCAGGTGGGTGGATCATTTGATTCCAGGAGTTTGAGATTAGCCTGGGCAACATGGCAAAACCCCATCTCTACTACAAAAAATACAAATATTTACCTAGGCGTGGTGGCGTGCACCTGTAGTCCCAGCTACTGGGAGGGGGCTGAGGTGGGAGGATTGCCTGAGTCTAGGAAGTCAAAGCTGCAGTGAGCAGTGATCACACTGTACTCCAGCCTGGGTGACAGAGTGAGAACCCATCTCAAAAAAAAAAAAAAGATTAAAAGCTAGTAACCACAATATTGTCATGCCTAAAACATTAAAAATACCTTCTTAATATCATAAAATACCCAATGTTCAAGGTGTTTTTGTTTGTTTTTGTTTTTGAGACAGAGTCTTGCTGCATTGCCCAGGCTGGAGTACAGTTGCACAATCTTGGCTCACTGCAACTCCTGCCTCCTGGGTTCAAGTGATCCTCAGCCTCCTGAATATCTGGGACTACAGGTATATGCCACCATGCCCGGCTTATTTTTTTGTATTTTTAGTAGAGAAAGGGTTTTGCCATGTTGGCCAGGCTGGTCTTGAACTCCTGGCCTCAAGTGATTTGCCCGCCTCAGCCTCCCAAAGTGCTGGGATTACAGGCGTGAGCCGCGTGCCTGGCGTCAAGTTTCTAATTGGATGTCTGAATTAGATTTAAGTCAGGATCATTGCCATTAGTTGATAGATCTCTTAAGTCTATTTAACATAAAGTTCTCCATGGTTCTCTTTCTTTTTTCTTGCAATTTACTTGTTGAAGACATTGGGTCATTTGTCTGTAGAGTCTCTCACAGTGTGGATTTTGTAGATTGCATTCTTGTGGTATCATTTAACATGTTCCTCTGTGCTTTAATTTGTTGCTCGGCTTTTATTGGAGTATGGCTGATTGACAGTAAACTGCATCTATTTAGAGTGTACAGTTTTATAAACTTTCACAGATGTATACATCCACGAAACCATTACCACAATTGAGATAGTGAACATAGCCTTTGTCCCAACGGTGTCCTCTTGACTGTCATCACTCCCCCATGGATGCCACCCTCCCATAAGAAAGCACTGTTCTCATTTGTGTTACTATAATTTAGTTTGCATTTCTTAGTGTTTTAGCTAGAATCATAGAATATGTACTTTTTTGTCTGGCTTCTTTCACTCAGCATAATTATTTTGAGATTAATCTATGTTGTTGTTTGCATAAATATTTCATTCCTGTTTATTGCTAAATAATATTCAATTGAATGGCTATATCATGATTTGTTGTTAGCCATTTGAATTTTTTCCAGTTTTTGGCTTTTACAAACAAAGCTGCTCTGAACATTTGTGTACAAGTTTTTACATGGATATATATTTCCTTTTCTCTTGGGAATTTCCTAAGAGTGGAACGGCTGGATCATATTGTAAGCATGTGTTTAACTGCACCCACCATGAGAGTGCCATTTCCTCTACATTCTCACCAATACTTGTTATGGTCAGTCTTTTTCACTGAAACCATTCTATTAGGTTGGTACAAAAGTAATTGCAGTTTTGCTCTCAAAAGTAATGGCAAAAACCACAATTACTTTTGCACACACCTAATAATATGTGAGTAATGTGTGTGCGTGTGTGTGTGTGTGTGTGAATTCTAGCTCCTTTGCTAGAATTTTAAAATTAGCTTGCTAATTTGTACAAAAAAATGCTCCCTGATATTTTTATTAAGATTGTGTTGCATATAGGGATCAAACTGGGAGAATTGCCATGTTAAATATTGACTATTCTGGCCGAGCACGGTGGCTCACGCCGGTAATCCCAGCGCTTTGGGAGGCCGAGGCAGGTGGATCACCTGAGGTCAGGAGTTTGAGACCAGCCTGCAAAACCCTGTCTCTACTGAAAATACAAAATATTAGCCAGACATGGTGGCGGGTGCCTGTAATCCCAGCTCTTCGGGAGGCTGAGGCAGGAGAATCGCTTGACCCCAGGAGGCGGAGGTTGCAGTGAGTCAAGATCGTGCCACTGGGCAACAAGGGTGAAACTCCATCTCAAAAAAAAAAAAAAAAAAAAAAAAAAGGACTATTCTGCTATTCTGACCCAATAACCAGGTATATCTTTCTACTTGTTTGTCTTTGAGAGCTTCTTTCAGCAAGGTTTCATAGTTTAGAGTGTACTAGTCTTCTGCATCTTTTGTCAAATGTCTGTTTCACATTTTTAATGTTTTATAAATGATATTTTAAAAAGTTGTAATTTCTGATTGTTTCTGACATACAAAAATATAATCTGCCCTGGTCTGCACGTCTTGTATCCTGCAATCTTGCCCAAAGTCATTTATTCATACTAGTAGCTTTTTTTTGCATTTCTTTGGATTTTCTACATAGACAAATACAGTTTTGCTTCTTCCTTTCTAATCAGGATGCCTTTTATGTATCTTTTTCCTTTTATTACTGGCTACGAACTCCAGAACAATGTTTAATAGGAGTGGTGAGAGCTTGTCTTGTCTTGTTTCTGATCTCAGGAGGAAAGCATTCAGTCTTTCATCAGTAAGTGTGATTTTTTGTTGTAAGTGGTTTGCAGATTTTTTTTTAATCGGGTTAGGTTCCTTTCTGTTCCTAGTTTTCTAAGAGATTTTTTCTAAAAAATCAGGAATGGGCATTGAATTTTTTTGAATGCTTTTTTCTGTGTAAGTGATCATATGGTTTCTGTTTTGTAGTTACTATTGTAAGTTAAACATTGATTGATTTTTCTAATAATGACCAACCTTTAATTTCTGACACATAGTCAGTCCAATTGGTTATTATGCTTTTAGTATGTTGTCAGATTCAAATTGCTAAAATTTGTTTAGACTTTTTTTCCCTATCTGTATTTATGAGCATTATTGGTCTGTAGTTTTCTTTTCTCACAATGTCTTTTTCTGGTTTTGGTATCTGGGTAATGCTTGCTTCATGGAACAAATTGGGGGAATATTTGCTCCTCTTCAATTTTTTGGAAGAGTTTGTGTAGAACTGGCGTTTTTTCTTCCCCTAAATATTTGATAACATTCACGATGAAGTGATGTGGACTGGAAGTTTTCTTTGTGGGAAGGTTTTAACTACAACTGCAACTTCTAAAATAGATAAGGGGCTATTCCCCTTGACTACTGCTTCTTAAGTGAGCTTTTGTAGTTTGTATCTTTCATGAATTTGTCTCTTTAAGTTTTCAGATTTATTGGCATAAAGAGTACACAGTATTCTCTTATCCTTTTAATATCTATAGAATCTGTACTGATGGCACCTCTCTTATTTTTGATCTTGATAATTTTTATTTTCTTTCCTTTTTTCCTGATCTATCTGGCTAGAAATTTATCAATTTTATTTATCTTTTTAAACAACTAGCTTTCATTTTCATTGATTGTCTGTATTGTTTTTCTATTTTGTAGTTTATTGATTTTCATTCTCACTATTTTCTTTGATGATGATGATGATGATGATGATGATGATGATGATGATGATGATGATTGCTGTTATTATTTGAGTCAGGGTCTTGCTCTGTTGCCCAGGCTGGAGTGCAGTGGTGTGATCTTGGCTCGCTGCAACCTCCGCCTCCTGGGTTCAAGTGATTCTCGTGCCTCAGCCTCCCGAGTAGCTGGGACTACAGGTGCATGCCACCACAACTGGCTAATTTTTGTATTTTTAATAGAAACGGTGTTTCATCATGTTGGCCAGGCTGGTCTAGAACTCCTGACCTCAAGTGATCTGCCCGTCTTGGCCTCCCAGTGTGCTGGGATTACAGGCATGAGCCACTGCACCCAGCCTCTTTGTTTATTTTAAATTTAATATCTCTTCTTATTCTAGTTTTGTAAAGGGAAAGTTGGACTCACTGATTTAAGATGTGATTATTTTCTTTTCTTCTTTTTTCTTTTGAGACAGGTTCTTGCTCTGTTACCCAAACTGGAGTACAGCTCACTGTAGCCTCAACCTCCTGGGCTAAAGCGATCCTCCCATCTCAGCCTCCTGAGTAGCTGAGACTACAGGCGCATGCCACCATGCCCAGCTAATTTTTAAAGCATTTTTTGTATGCTTTATGCTCTGTGTTGGCCAGGCTGATTGCTAATTCCTGGGCTCAAGTGATCTGCCTTGGCCTCCCAAAGTGTTGGGATTACAGGCAAGAGCCACTGCACCCAGCAGACCTTTATTATTTTCTAATATAGGCATTTAGTGCTATAAATTTCCCACTAAATGATGTGTTAGCAGCCTCCCACAGATTTTGATATGTTGTATTTTCACTTTCATTCAGTCCAAAATATAAGTGTCTTTTGACTTTTTTCTTTGATCCGTGGGTTATTTTGAAGTATGGTATTTAATTTCCCAACACTTGGGGGTTTTCCAGAGATCTTTTTGTTGCTGATTTTTAATTAATTATATTTTTGTCAGATAACACACTTTTTATGACTTGAATCCTTCTGAATTTATTGAGATTTGTTTTATGACCCAGAATGTGGTCTATCTTGTTAAATGTTCTATGTACACTTGAGAAGAATGTGTATTCTGTTGTTGTTGGATGGAATGTTCTGTAAATGTCAATCAGGTCAAGTTGATTGATAGTGTTATTCATCTTCTATATTCTTGTTGACTTTCTATATAGTTGTTCTATTCATTATTGATGATATTAAAATTTCTGACTATGATCGTGGATTTTTAAATTTCTCCCTGCAGTGCTATCATTTTTTACTTCATATATTTTGAAACTTCTGTTATTAGGTACATAGGTGTATAGAATTGTTATGTTCTTTTGATTAATTGTCCCCCTTTATTACAAAATAAACTTTTTTATCTTATAATAGTTTTTGCTCTGAAGTATACCTTGTCTAATATTAATATGGCCACTCCAGCTATCTTTGAACTGTGTTAACATGCTATATAATTTTCCATCTTTTTACTCTTAACCTATTGGTGTCTTCATATTTAAAGTGTGTTTCTTGTAGACAGCATAGAGTCTGGTCCTGCCTTTTAAAAAAATGCAATCTGGTAATTCCTGTATTTTAATTGGGAATGTTTGGATCACTTATATTTAATGTGTTTATTAATATAGTTACTTTGAAGTCTGTCATCTTATTTGTGTTCTATTTCCCGTCGTTCTTTGTTTCCTTTTTCCTTTTGTTCTGACTTTTTTGGATTAATTTTCATTTTATTTTTTAAAATTGACAAATAATAATTGTATATATTCATGGAAAGCATAGTGATGTTTCAATACATATAATGTATAGTGATCAGATCAGGGTAATTAGCATATTCATCATCTCAAACATTTTATTGTTTCTTTGTTTTGGGAACATTCAGTATCCTCCTGGATTAATTTTTTTAATAATTCTATTTTATTTATTATTATTGTTTTTGAGACAGAGCCTTGCTCTGTTGCCCAGGCTGGAGTGCAGTGGTGCAATCTCAGCTTACTACAACCTCTACCTCCCGGGTTCAAGTGATTCTCGTGCCTCAGCCTCCCGAGTAGCTGAGATTACGGGTATGCACCACCACGCCCAGCTAATTTTTTTGTATTTTAGTAGAGATGGGGTTTCGCTATATTTGGCCAGGCTGGTCTTCAACTCCTGGCCTCAAGTAATCTGCCTGTCTTGGCCTCCCAATGTGCTGGGATTACAGGTGTGAACCACCACGCCTGGCCTGTGATTCCATTTTATATGGTGCACTATTAGTAAATTATTAGCTATAACTGTTTGTTCTGTTATTTTAGTAGTTATTTTAGGGTTTATAAGGTATATGTTTATTTATTGCAATCTATCTTCAAGCAAGTACTATTATACCACTTCATGTACAGTATAAGCTTAGAATAATGTACTTCTGTTGCCTCCTTCCTATTCTTTATACTTATTGTCATGTATCTTACTTTTGCTTATGTTTTAAAATCCAGACTACATTGTTAGTGTTTTTGTATGGTCAATTTTATGTAAGGAGTTTCAAAAAATTTTTAAAAAATTATATATTTACTTACATAGTTACCATTTTTGGTATTCATCATTCCTTTGTCTGGAACCAGATTTCCATCTGGTATTATTTTTTTCTGCCCGAAGCCCTCACTTTAACATTTCTTATAGTGTGGATCTGCTGGTGATTAATTTCCTCAGCTTTTGTAAGTCTTTACTTCACTTTCATTTTTCAATATTTTAACTAAGTATAGTGAAAATATTTTATTGTCAATTACGTTGAGAATGTTTTTCTTTCAGTAGGCTAATGATGTTTATCTGCTGTCTTCTTGATTGCCATATTTCTGACAAGAAATCTGTGCCATCCTTATTTTGATTTCTCTCTACATGACATGCCTTTTTCTTTTTTCTTTGGGTGCCTTTAAGATGTTCTTTTGCTAACTGGTCTTTACAAATTTGATTATAACATGTAATTTTCTTCAGTTTTTTTTTTTCTTTTTTTTTTTTGGTGTGGGTGTGTGCTTGGATTCTTTGAGCTTCTTAGATCTATGGCAAGTTTAGAAAATTTTTGGTCGTTGTTTCTTCAGATATTTTTTCTGTCCCCACCTCACTCCTGTTATTTGGTGACTCAAATTATATACATAATAGGCTGCTTGACCTTGTCCCACAACTCACTGATACTTTTTTAAAATTAATAGACTTTATTTTTTAGAGCAGTTTTAGATGTACAGAAAAATCATGTAGATAATTCCCATATGTCCATTCTCCCCTCTCCTTCCTATAGCTTTTTTAGTGTTATACATTAGTTACAATTGATGAACCAACACTGATCCATTATTGCTAACTCAAGTCCATAGTTTACATTAGGGTTCACTCTTTGTGTTGTACATTCTAGGTATGTTGACAAATGATGATATCATATATCTACCATTACAGTATCATACAGAATCATTTCTCTGCCTTGAAAACAATCCCCTATGCTCCACCTAAATGTACCTGCTTCCCCTAAATGTACCTGCTTCCCCTAAATGTACCTGCTTCCCCTCTCCCTGGAAACCACTATCTTTTATTGTCTGTCTAGATTTGCCTTTTCCAGAATGTCATATAGTTGGAATCACACAGTATGTAGCCTTTTTCAAACTGATTTCTTTCATTTAGCAATACTCATTTATACTTCCTTCAGGTCTTATTATGGCTTGATAGCTCATCTCTTTTTATCCATCAATAATATTCTATTGTATATATGTTTGTTTTTACCATTCACCTATTGAAGGACATCCTGGTTGCTTCCAGTTTGGGGCAATTATGAATAAAGCCATAATAAACATTCATATACAGGTTTTTATGTAGACATATGTGTTCAACCCAATTACTTAAGTACCTAGGAACATGGTTGCTGGATTGTATGGTAAGAGAATGTTTAATTTTGTAAGAAACTACCAAATTGTCTTCTAGAGTGGCTGCAACATTTTGTATTCCCACCAGCAATAAATGAGAGTTCCTGAGAGTTCCTGTTGCCTCGGATCCTTGTTAGCCTCTGGTATTGTCAGATTTTTAGTCATTCTGCTAAATGGTATATAGTGCTATCCCATTGTTGGTTTGATTTGCAGTTTCCTAAAGACATATGATGTTGAGCATCTTTTCTATGTTTATTTGTAATTTATGTATCTTCTTTGATGAGATGTCTGCTTAGATCTTTTGCCATTTTAAATTTGGCTTGTTTGTTTCTTATTGTTGAGTTTTAAAAGATCTTCACATATTTTGGATGCCAGTCTTTTATGTGTTTGGCAAATATTTTCTCCTACTGTGTGACTTGTCTTTGCATTCTCTTATCAAGGACTTTCTCAGATCAGAAGTTTGTAATTTTTAATGAAGTCCAATTTTTCAAGTATTTCTTTCATGAATCAGGGTTTTGGTGTTGTATAATAAAAGTCATTGCCAAACCCAGGGTTATTTAGATTTTCTCCTATGTCATCTTCTAGTAGTTTACATTTAGGTCTATGATTCATTTTGAGCAAATTTTTATGAAAGGTGTAAGGTCTGTGTCTAGAACCTTCCCTCCCTCCATCTCTCCCTCCCTCCCTCCCTTCCTTTCTTCCTTCCTTACTTTCTTCCTTCCCTGTTGTTTCTGCATGTGATGTTGCATGTCCACTTGTTTCGGCACCATTTGTTGAAAACACTACCCCTTGCTCCATTGCCTTTGCTACCCTTGAATTGCCTTTGCTCCTATGTCAAAGATCAGTTGACTACTTGTATAGGTCTATTTCTGGTCTCTGTTCTGTTCCATTGATCTATTCATCTATTCTTTTACTAATACTACACTGTCTTGATTACTGTAGCGTTACAGTGAGTCTTGAATCAGATATTATTGGTCCCCTGACTGTTTTTCCTTAGTACTGTGTTGGCTATTCTGGGTCATTCATCTTTCCATATAAATTTTAGAACCAGTTTGTCAAAATCCACAAAATAACTTGCTGAAATTTTGACTGGGATGGCATTGAATCTATAGATCAACTGACGTCTTGGCAATATTGAGTCTTCCTCTTCATAAACATGAAGTATCTATTTATTTAGATTTCTTTTGATATCTTTAATCAGTTTTGTAGTTTTCGTCATGTAGATCTTATACATATTTTATTAGATTCATAACCAAGTATTTTTTAATGCTAATATAAATGGTATTGTGTTTGAAATTTCAAATTTCAGTGGTTCGTTGCTGGTATATAGGAAAACAATTGACTTATGTATAAACCTTTTATCCTGGCAAGCTTGCTATAATTGATCATTGGTTCAGGTTTGTTAATTCTTTAGGATTTTTCTATATAAAAATCATGTCACCTGTGAACAAGGACAGTTTTCATTTATTTCTTTCCAATCTGTGTATATTTATCTCCTTTTCTTGTCTTAGGTCATCAGCTAGAACTTCCAGTACAATGTTGAATAGGAATGATGAGAGAGTACATCCTAATCTTAGGGGGAGACATCCAGTTTCTCATCATGAAGTACGACAGTAGCTGTAGGTTTTTTATAGATGTTCTGTATTAAACTGAGGAATTTCTCCTCTATTTCTAGTTTGCTGAATTTTTATCGAGATGGAGGTTGGATTTTGTCAAATGCTTTTTATCCATTTATTCATATGAGCATATGATTTTTTTCTTTAGCTTCTTGATGTGACAGATTATATTTATTGACTTTTGAATGTTTTTTAAAACTGTACAGATACTGTGATGATTTTAATTGCATATGAAATTAACTTCGTTATCTTCAGGCTTATCACATCAAAGGTTTACTTGCAAAATTGGACCTTTGTTCTTATTCAGTAAATCCGTGTTACAAGATGAGCCAGGATTTAGATATGTAAATATATGTAACTTTTTAGTATCTTTCATTTCAAATTAGAACCACATATTTGGAATTTACTGCTGTAGTCTCGTGATAATGGCTGACATGAGAAGACATTAAAAAAACCCTGAAGTTATCCATGCTTGCTGTTTATTTAGTCTTCTTGTTTGGAACAAAAAGTAAATAATTCACAAATACTACCACCTAAGCCCCTGTTTCAAATGAAACATCAGTCTTCAGCTTGCAAAAGAATGTCTTTATAATTAAGGAAATAGCAGCAGAAAACCTATGCTAGTTGCTTTTTTCTTCCTGGAGAAGTTGACAGGATAACTGCAATCCTAGGGGCATCTCTGTGTTGAATCTGAGACGTAGAACAAAAAGAAAAGTGGCCTTTTCCATTCCAAGCCATGGAGGTAATGTGTAGAGAAGAGACAACCACATTTCAAGAACAGAGAAAGTAACTGGATAAAAGAAGCAGGACTGCCCGCTTTAGGAGACAACATAGAGATACTTGCCACGTCCCGAGTTCAGATTTTTTTTTTTTTGAGATGCATATCAAGGCACCTAAAGTTCGAGAAAAGATGTTCTTCCTGTGTTAAGGAAGCTGCACTGGGGTTAATTTAAAAAGATGTCAGAAGTCGCAGAGAAGCGGTTCTCAAGCTTTTACGGAACACTGTCCTGTTTGAGAATCTGCTGATATTATGGACCTTCTTCTTTCTACAAAAATGTGTAATTGTGCATAAAATTTCCAATAGTTTATAGTCACCTACTTAAGACCTTTGCTTTAGAGTAGATTATTACTCCCCGCTGTAAGGTAGGGAAGAAAAATATTCCATTCCTTTCCTCTGGTTGATATCTTTTTTTCTTCTCCTTGCACAGTCCAACAGACACACTCGGCCTCCCAGAAAGCAGCTGGCCCCCTGGCCAAGAGGCCAGTTTGCAGCAGCGTGATCATTCCACCATCTTTGCTGCCATTTGAATCTTGAATCAGCTTTGCGTACCTGTAATAAATTCCACTTAGCCATGGCATGTAGTTTTTTAAAAATACATTGTTGAATTTGATTTGCTAATGTTTTGCTGAAGATTTTTGTATTTATGTTCTTGAAAGATGTTGATCTGAAGTCTTCCTTTCTTGTAATTTCTTTATCTGGTTTTGATATTAGGGTAATGCTGGACTCACAGAATAAGTTAAGAAGTGTTCTGGAAGAGATGATAGAGGATTATCATTTCTTCCTTAAGTGGTACAGTTTACCAGTGAAATCAGCTGGACCTGATGTTTTCTGTTTTGGAAGGTTATTAATTCTGGTTAAATTTTGTTAAAGATACAGGCCTATCAGATTGTCTATTTCTCTTTGTGTGAGTTTTGGTAGATTGTGTCCTTCAAGTAAATGGTCAATTTCAATTAAGTTATTAAATTTTGGACATAGAGTTGTTGATGCTCTTTTTATTTTTTTCTTTTTTCTTCTGTGTAATTATGGGTAATTTCTATGTCTTCAAGTTCACTAATCTTTTTTTCTGCGATGTCTCATCTGCTCTTAATCTTATACAATATATTTTTCCTCTTAAACATTATAAATTTTATCTCTAGAAGTTTGATTTGGGTATTTGGTATATCTTCCATATCTCTACCTAATGTTGAATTTATAGAGCATAATTTTCATAACTGTTTTAATGTACTTTGATGATTTTTTTTTTTTTGAAATGGAGTCTTGTTCTGTTGCCCAGGCTGGAGTGCAGTGGCACAGTCTTGGCTCACTGGAGCCTTTGCCTCATGGGTTCAAGCCATTCTCCTACCTCAGCCTCATGAGTACCTGGGATTACAGGTGCCTGCCATGACACCTAGCTTATTTCTGTATTTTTAGTAGAGATGGGGTTTTGCCATGTTGGCCAGGCTGGTCTCAAACTCTTGGCCTCAAATGATCCACCTGCCTTAGCCTCCCAAAGTGCTGGGATTATAGGCATAAGCCACTGCACCCAGCCTTTCTTTGCTAATTCTTACATCTGTGTCAGTTCTTGGTCAGTTTGATTTATTGATTATTGTCCTCATTATAGTTTGTGTTTTTGCCACCTCTATGCATGCTTGATAATCCCTGATGATTGAATGCCATATGTGAATTTTACTTTGTCAGGTGTTTAATATGTTTGTATTTTTATAAATATTTGCTCTGGAATGCAATTTACTTGGAAATAGTTTGATCTTCCTGGGGTCTTGCTTTTATTATTTGTTAGGAAGGTTTAGAGCGATGCTTAGTCTAGGACTAATTATTCCACATGACTAAAGAAAGACCCTTGTGAGTGCTCCACCCAATGATCCGTGAATTGTTCGATTTTAACGTCCGCCTGGTGTCAGTAAGCACTGTTCTTAGCCCTGTGTGAGTGCGAGATACTACTGCTTTGAATCCTTTCAGATGTTTGTTTGTTTGTTTGTTTCCACAGCCTCAGGTTTCTTTTATATTTTGTTTGTTTTAGAGATGAGTTCTCACTGTGTTGCCCAGGCTGGAGTGCAGTGGCTATTCACAGGCATGATCATCACACACTACAGTCTTGAACTCCTGAGCTCAAGCGATCCTCCCACCTCAGCCTCCTGAGTAGCTGGGACTGTAGGTGTGTGCCCACCATGCCTGGCCTAGCCTCAGGTATTTTTATTGCATACATGAGTTGACCGATACTCTGCCGTTTCCATGAGGGAGACCCACTGCAGATTTCTGGTGCTCTCTCTCTGGGCAGTTACCTTTTCTCTGCAATCTGCTCTAGAAACTCTGCTTTTGTCTCCCTTCCTGGAGTGGAAAATCTTAAGACAAAAGGGAGATCGTAGGTAGATATCAAGAAGAATCTAGTAGAAGAAATTTCTTACTCTCATATGCATCCACAGGCCAATGGAGATATTCAGCCCCAGAAAGTAAAAAGAAGCTTGCTTTCCAAATGATTCATCAGTTAGTGTTTTCTTTCAATGAATGGAAGATTTTAACACAAACAAGAGTTTGTAGGCAGACATTGAGAAGAAGCTCTATCTCCTCAATATAGGGAGTCTGCTGGGATCTGCCTCAGTTCGCCTGCGCTGGGTTATGGTTGGGAATCTCTGTTAATACGGTGATTGGGGAAAATTACAGGGTTTGTCTTATTTTGCATCTCTCAGAGATCACTGTCCTTTGTTGTTGTCTGGTGTCCAGTGTCTTGAAAACTGCTATTTCATTATTTTATTTATATATAAATATATGTATTTTATATATAAAATATTAGATATATGTATATATATATATTTGAGACAGGGTCTCGCTCTGTTGCTCAGGCTGGAGTGCAGTGGTGTGATCTTGGCTCCCTGCAACCTCCGCCTCCTGGGCTCAAGCAATTCTTCTGCCTCAGCTTCCCAAGTAGCTGGGATTACAGGCACCTGCCACCATGCTGGGCTAATTTTTGTATTTTTAGTAAAGATGAGTTTTCACCATGTTGGCCAGGCTGGTATCGAACTCCTGGCCTCAAGTGATCCACCCACCTTGGCCTCCCAAAGTGCTGGGATTACAAGTGTGAGCCACTGTTCCCTGGCCTATTTCATATATTTTTAATGGTTTCTTGGTTGTTTTCAGTGGTAGGATAAATCAAGATTCTGTTACTTCATCTTGGCTAGAAGCAGAAATTCTTTAAGTTTTTATTGTGAGAATTTTCAAAGATACAGAGTCGTTAAAAGAATGATACAATGATTATTTGTATACTTAGCACCTGGATTCAGGAACTGTGTGTGTGAGTGTGTGTGTGTGTGTGTGTGCACGCACGCCTGCCATGTTTATATATTTGCTGGACCATTTGAAACTAAATTGTAGAGGTATCAGGACATTTCACCACTAAATCACTAACTACATTGGCCTGAAACTCCTAAAAATAAGGGCAGTCTCCTGCATAATCACACCACCAGTATCACACCTAAGAAGATGAAATCATTCCCTTTATCATCTGTATTAGTTATCTGCTGCTGGGTAACAAAATACTCCAAAACATAGCATTTAACACCACAAATATTTTTATCTCACAGTGCCCGACGGTTAGAAATCTGAAAGCAGCTTAGCTGGATGGTTCTGGCTCAGAGTCTCTCATGAGGTTGCAATAAAGCTTCCAGCTGAAGCAGACGTCTCCAGGCTTGTTCAGTGGCTGATGTCTGGAAGCCTGAGGTTCTTTCTCCGTTGCCCGATCTAGTCTACCTGAGCATTGTCACAACGTGGCAGATGCCTTCACCAAAAGCAAAGGATCTTTGTGTGTTTGTGTGTGGTCTGTTTGTTTATTTGTTTTCTGGTCGAGGCCCTGGGGTTTGCTGAGCCTTCCCTATTATAGATGAAAAGACCAAGGCCTAATGAGGGGAAACGTCTTGCCTGAGGACACCCAGCCATTCTCTGCTTAGATGCATATGCATTATGAAACCCAAAGGTCCTCTGGCACTGTGCGCTCCAGAACAGAGCCCTCCGCAAACACTGTATTTGAGCTTCACATTTGAAATATGGATTTGAGCATTGTAATAAACAGAACAAAAACCCTTGGATATATTGCATACTAAATGTTAGCATCTGGAGATGGCCAGCACAGTTTCTTCTGCCATTAACTCAGTTGTCAGTAAGTTTGACACTGAAGTTTGTCCTGCTATCTCTGTACAAGTAAAGAGGACCCTAAAAATTGCAAGCAAAGCAAGGTTCTAAATACTGCTAGGATTTTCAACTGCTATTACTTGTTGACCTGGGATTTTCTTAATATATTTGCAACTTTAAAAAGTTTAAAAGTTTTGAAGCTTAAAGTCAGTGCTGAGGTTGAGACATGACTAAATCTGTCATCCATGATATCTAATTTCTTTGTTTGTTTGTTTGTTTTTTCAGACAGAGTCTCGTTCTGTCACCCAGCCTGGTGTGCAGTGGTTCAAGCCATTCTCCTGCCTCAGCCTCCCGAGTAGCTGGGATTACAGGCGCCCACCACCACGCCCAGCTAATTTTTGTATGTTTGGTAGAGACGGGGTTTCACCATGTTGGCCAGGCTGGTCTCAAACTCCTGACCTCAAGCGACCCACCCGCCTCGGCCTCCCAGAGTTTTGCGATTACAGGCGTGAGCCACCACGCCCAGCGGAATTTCTTATTCTTTTTGATCTATCAAAACAACCTCATTGTTCTCAATGACTGACCTTATAATAAGTAAATGTTATAGAACATACAGTGTCATTTTCCTTTTCCAGTAGAGGAAGATTACATTTCCCAGAGTTTCTTGCCTTTGAATAGAGGCCTGTGACTGGATGCTGAGGGCCCCTGGGATGTGGGCAGACATGGAGTTTGTGGCTTCTTCCCCTTACACAGAGGCCAGAGCTGTATCATGGCAGAACCACAGATGGTGGGAGGGTGGGTCTCTGGACCACTGGTTGAGGGGTAGAGAAGATCTGCTAAGAAGAGTTCCCTGACCTGCACCGAACAGTGACAGGAGCAAGAAGCAAACCTTTGTGTGTTAAGCCACTGAGATATTGGGGTTTATTTATTACAGCAGATTCTGGTCTATCCTGACTAATACTGGATCAAACAAATAACATTTTTTGCAAATCAAAACCACAATGAGATACCATCTCACGCCAGTTAGGAAGGAGGTTATTAAAAAGTCAGGAAACAACAGATGCTGGCGAGGCTTTGGAGAAATAGGAACACTTTTACGCTATTGGTGGGAGTGTAAATTAGTTCAACCATTGTGGAAGACAGTATGGTGATTCCTCAAGGATCTAGAACCAGAAATACCATTTGACCCAGCAATCCCATTACTGGGTATATACCCAAAGGATGATAAAGCATTCTACTATAAAGACACATGCACAGGTATGTTTACTGCAGCACTATTTACAATAGCAAAGACTTGGAACCAACCCAAATGCCCATCAATGATAGATTGGATAAAGAAAATGTGGCACATACACACCATGGAATACTATGCAGCCATAAAAAATGAGTTCATGTCCTTTGCAGGGACATGGATAGAGCTGGAAACCATCATCCTCAGCAAACTTAACACAGGAACAGAAAACCAAACACCGCATGTTCTCACTCATAAGTGGGAGTTGAGCAATGAGGACACATGGACACAGGGAGGGGAACATCACACACCGGGGCCTGTTGGGGGGTGAGGGGCCAGGGGAGGGACAGCATTAGGACAAATACCTAATGCATGTGGGGCTTAAAACCTAGATGATGGGTTGATAGGTGCAGCAAACCACCATGACACATGTATACCTATGTAACAAACCTGCATGTTCTGCACATGTATCCCAGAGCGTAAAGTAAAATAAAAATTAAACACAAGTAACATTTCTAATAAAATACAGCTCTTATCTGTTCTGTGTTTTGGGTTCCATGTATTGTTTATTGAAAAGTAAAAAAGTTTTCTGCTACAAAAGGTATCAAAATCAGCAATTGAGTTTGAAGTCAGAATCTTACAGGTAGGGAACTCAAGGGCTGGAGAGGAGAAATAATTTGTCCAGGGTCACATAGCTGAGGCAGGGCTAAAATCTCGCAGAGGGACATCTATAGTTTTATCCTGTCCTTTCTTTTGGTAACAGCAGCTGAATTTCCTCATCTTCCTGCTCAGGCCACATGCTTCATATGGGACTCATTCTCATCCCTCAGCTCCAGGCCTGGTGAATCTATATCGTCTATCACCCAAGCCTCAGTGATTAGCTTGAGGATGGATGCATGACCCAGTCCAGACCAATCACAGCGAATCCCTGGGTTTTTGCTGGAGCTGCTCTCCGTGGATAGTTGAATCAATAGGATATAAGTCTGGAGCTCCTGGGTGCTATCTCAGTATCTCTAGGTTGAGAATGCAGCTAACACAGAGGAAAGCAGAGCTGAAATGTGGAGAGAGCCAGACGATGCTTGATGGTGTTTGAGCACCTGGATCCAGCCATGCCTGAAGTTGGAGCTTTTAGTTACATGAACCAATAAGTTCCCTTTTGGTTTATGTCAGTTTTGACTGGTATTCTGACCTACACATACGGTTTTGTGCTTTTTTTCACCAAGGGACAGGAATTACTGTATTTTTCTGTTTTACTGATAAGGAAATGGAGGCTCAGTCCATTTGTAATCAGATGCTTCAAGTCTCACCAGATTCAAGGCTTGATGACCTCTCTTTTGTGTTGGGAATGCCCCACACAGGAACTCTTGTTTGCTTCTGCCCCCTGCTTCCGTGCAGACACACTCTATCCTGTTTCACAAGGGGGTGGTAAACCACTACAGAGTAGGTGCTAAAACATCGCTGAAATGAAATAAGGAAAGAATACCCCTTTAAAGAAACGGTGTAAAGTGTATAATGAGGCGATTCATCAAAAAATGCAAATGACTTAGCCCTAAAAGATACCAACTTCACTAATAATTAAGAAATACAAATAAAACAGCTATCATCTTTCACTCATGAGTTTGTCAAAGAGCTAAAGGTTTCCTGACAGCTGAGGGCAGGGAAATAGTCTCTTTCCTGGGCTGAGGCAGTAGGAGGGGAAGGGGCACAGCCTCTTTGGAGGGCACTGTGGCAATGTCTGTGAAATGTAAACAGTGTACAAGCCATTTGCCCTCCAGTTGAGAATGTATTCTACAAAGAAACTCCAACAAATACGCAGAGATGCAAGTAAAAGACTGTCCAGTAGAGAATTATTTTTAATAGCCAAAACCAAAACTGAAAGAAAACAAAACAAAACTGGAAACAAATGTCCACCAAAATGGGTCTACACGAACCCCAGTACATCCAAGACATGGAAAACATTTTAGCTGCAAAAAAGAATGAGGTAGCCCCAGATGTGTGGGGGTGGAAAGGTGCCCAGGGTATACCATGTCGTTAGGGGAGAACCGGATGTGTGATATGATGCTATTTATGCTGAAAATGAAATCTTACCAGAGTTAAGATGAAGATAAGTTGTGAAGTAGAATTAGGGGGTCAGGGGACTTCGTTTTCAATGAATTAATCTTTACAATTTGATTTTTTAAAATTATGAAAATAAGCACCTTACTATTTGTTTACTCATTTGAATACCCAATAATGCACAAAAATTCAGAAGGTACAAGGTGGAGATGTATAATTCTGCAGTTCTCTCAACTATCTGATACAGAATTAATTTATTCCCGGCATGCATTTAGTGTATTTAGAAGAAGGAGGAGAAGTGAGTGAGAAAGGGTGGGGGACACAGGCAGCGGCTGCTCTGCGGTCGGCAGCTGTGGTCAGGTGTGGAGGTGGGCTGCCCTTTTTGGGGTCACTCTATCCTTGGTTTCCTGGCATCAGGCCTTCCTAACCCCGCTGGAGCAGTAGTGAAGGACTTTGGTGATGCCCTGCCCATGGCTCCTGGCTGTGGTTCTTCTTGGTCTGGGTCCCACATCTCAGGGCTACAGGCAGTGAGGCGCTGGAATCCCCCAGGACTGTCCTGCTTCTTGCCAGCTCCCCTCCAGCCAGGCCTGCCTGGCGGATGCCCAAACACTCATCAGGCAAGACAGGTCTGTAGGCAAATATTGATCCCTGTGCGGCTGCGGGCGGTGAGGGGGCAGCAGGTGTGGCACAGAGTCCTGTTTACCTGCCGCTGAGCCTGGCGGGCGCTGCCTATTTGCTGAGCTCCCTTCCCGGCCTGGCTCAGGTGAGGCGAGCTCTGCCCTCTTTCTCCCTCCCTCCTCCCTCTGCTGTGCTGTTCAAGGGGGCTAGTCATTCTTCCCACCTCTTTGCTGGGCTGACTGCTGCTCGTTCTTGTGTCTCAGCTTCCACACTCCCTCTTCAGGGCCTCCCTGTCTACCCTCACTCCAGAGTGGCCGTTGCCACGGCCCACAGTTCCCCACCTACCAGGTTAGTGTTGCTGTTCTCTGCTAGATGCCAGATGAGCAGAGACAGGGACAGTTTTGCTCACCACTATTTCTCCAGCCCCTCCCTTAGGGCCTGGCACTCGGGAGGTGCTCCTCAAGTATTTGAGTGTCAGCCTGAATGAAGGCAGGCAGAGAGCCCTGCATGGGCAAAGGCACAGAGGTGTGACAGAGGGTAGTGAGGGGAGGGGGGCGGTGACGATGTATGGTGGGGAGCGGCAGGACAGGAGGCTGGAAAGTGAGGTGGGGTACTGAGCACCTCCCTGTCCTCCCCTTACTCTGAAAGCCTTTGAATGCCACATCTGGGAGTTCAGATTTTATCTGGTCAGAAATGGGAAATTGTTGGGTAAAGAAAATGCAAATAATACAACCAATGAGAGAATGACAAGCCAGATCCTTCATGCTGAATGGTAAATTCTGAAGTTCCTACAGTGGCCTGTGAGGCCCTGTAGCATCTGCTGCCCACCACACCCCTTCCCCACCTCCTTCCCCTACTCGCTGCAGCCACACTGGCCTGCTTGCTGTTTCCTGAACTTCACAGGTATAATTCAGCCTCAGGGCCTGCTGTGGTCCAACTGTGTCCTTCTGAATCTATGTTGAAACCTAATCCCCAGTGTGAGGGTATTAGGAAGGGGGCCTTTGGGAGGTGAGTAGGTCATGAGGGTGGAGCCCTCACAAATGGAATTAGTGCCCTCATCAAAGAGGCCCACCTTGTCCTTTCCACTGTGTGGGGACATGGTGAGAAAGTGCCATCTGGGAACCAGAAAGCAAGCTGTCTGTCGTTAGACACCGAATCTGCTGGTGCCCTGATCTTGGACTTCGCAGCTTCCAGAATGGTTAGAAGTCAATTACTTGTTTATAAGCTTCCCATTTTATGGTATTTTGTTAGAGCAGCCCCAACAGACTAAGGGCCTTTGCACTTGCTGTTTCTCTGCCCAGATGCTTTTCCCTTGGATATCATGGTTTATCTCCTTTCTTTGTTTGAACCTTAGCCTCCTATGGCACCTTACCAGAGAGGCCTTCCATGACACCATGAACAAAGGAGCGTCACCCCATGCCCCCATGCCCTGATCCTGCTTTATTTTCCTCTCTAGTATTTGTGTCTGTTTACTTGTCTAGTGTATGTCTTTTCCCCAGGGATGTCAGCTCTAAGAAGGCAGGAATATGTCATTTCTCTGGTTCCCTGCTGTGTCCTCTGAGCCCAGAACATGTACCTTTAGGCTCAATAAATGCTTGTAGAATAAATGAATGAATGACTGTGTAGTATTAAGCTAAGCCACCCCAGTCCTGGAATGATGTTAACTGTTGCTCACATGCTCTGTCCTGTTGCCAGATCCCACACACAGCTTTGAGCTCCTTTGCTCTGCACATCAGCCAGGTGGGGAGTGCAGGTCAACATTATTATCTGCCTTAAAAAATAATTATCAATGGCAAAAAACATCATGATCACCTGGACAGAAACCAAAATGAAATGCCTGCAGGCTCCTGACTTGAGCAAATCAATTTCTAAAATATGATGTGCAGGAATTGTGACAAAGAGGATGGAGTCTGCATTTCGAGACAGGTTTTCCCTGTGTTCAATTCCCAGCTCAGCTATTTACTTGCTCTGTGACCTGGGACCATTCAGGCCCCTTCTGTGAGCCTCAGCTATCCCTTCTGTCAATGGAGATAATTATTCCCTTGAAGAGATCTAGTGAAGAAGGCATTTGGACATAGGCATTTCCTGGGCTGCACCATCTACTGTGTATCCTTTTTGGTGCCTGCATAATATTCCACCAAGTAGAGTCACAGGCTTTGTTTAATCAGGTGGCTATTTCCAGACGTGGTAACAATAGCCTCTATTTACTGATCCTGCTAAGCGCCAGGCCAAGCACTGCACCTTCCTCATTTCTCCTTCAGTCCTCACTGCAGCCCCATCAGGTGGGTGCTGTTAATATTTCCATTTTGCACATGAGGTTAGGCAGCTTGCCCAAGGCCACGCAGCCCCACTAAATGGAAGATATGGAGTTGAAAGCCAAGTTGTCAAATCCAAGAGCTTTCATCTCTGTGCTTTGGTGGGACTTTTGTCCCCCATTTTGCAGATGGAAAATGAGGCTTGGGGAGGCCAGCAACTTGCCCAGGGCAACAGCGAGCAGAGCTGGGATGAGTCAGAATCCAAGTCTACCAATTGAGATGGAGTCTCACTCTGTCACCCAGGCTAGAGTGCAGCAGCGCAATCTCGGCTCACTGCAACCTCCACCTCCTGGGTTCAAGCAGTTCTCCTGCCTCAGCCTCCCGAGTAGCTGGGACTACAGGCATGCACCATGACACCGGCTAGTTTTTGTATTTTTAGTAGAGATGGTGTTTCACCATGTTGGCCAGGCTGGTCTCAAAATCCTGACCTCAAGTGATCCACATGCCTGGGCCTCCCGAAGTGCTAGGATTACAGGCGTGAGCCACTGCACTGGCTCAAGTCTACCAGTTCTTAACTTGTGCTTTCCTCCAGACCTACCTTCGTACGCTGGGACAGTATCCATGGGTCTCACTTTTCCTGAAGCGGGACAGTTAAGTGGCTGAGGAGGGAGTGGCCCTCTAGTTTCTGCCCCATACCTAGCTGAAGGCTTCAGGATAAGGAGAATAGTCACTGGTGAGCAGAGGAAACCTATTTCTGCTCTGGAAATGGCTCTTCTCTCCCTTTCTCTTCCCCCACCTCCCCCTGCTACCCCCCAGAGTTCTGTACCAATTAATCAGCAGACAATGGAAGCTCCAGCTGGGACCAAGTGGGCTGGACTCATTAGTGCAGAATGACATTAATATCAAAAATCTTCTGAGACAAATGCAATGATTCAGGGCAGACGCCTATGGAGGGCTGGCTCAGAAGCTGGTGTGGGTGATGGTACCGTGGTCCAAGACAGAGAGAGCCGTGCATATGTGGGTGGACAACCAGGCCGGGTCCCCGGGATGCCTGAGGGGAAGAGGGGGCAAAGCAGCTCTGCCTTGGGCAGGGTCCCTGTCCTCTTGTGCAGCCTGACTTCTCCCTCCTCCCTGCTTGGGGGGCCTGCATGGGTCACTGAGTCACCGAAACCCTGGGCAGGCTGGAGAGGCAGCGAGGCATGGAGGCCTTCAGGGCTGGATGGGCTGGGGCCGGGTCCCAGCTGCATCTCCTCTCCCCTCTCCCTGTGGCTCCAGCAACTCGCTTCCTGTCTTTGGGCCTCTGTGTTTCTTCATCTCAACTATGGGGTGATGATAGCTGCCTCTCAGGCTGGTGAGAGGATCATGGAATGAGGTGGACACATTTTGTAGAATGTGGACTAGAGGGGAGCGAAGGGCATCTTCACCATCTCCTCCTTCTTCATTGTTCTTTACCGAGTGGGGATAAATATCAAAAGTCTTCCTTTAGGGGCAACAGGAATCAAACCAGCTCCCGCAGGGAGCCTTAGAGATAGTTTTGCTTGGTTCCTATGCTCTTCATTTCTTCACTCACTCAGATATTCATTCATTGAGTCATCCACTCACACGTGTACCGAGCACCTCTCACATTGGCATCGATGTGGCACTGGGGATAGAAAGGTGGATGGGACACCATCGCTACCTCGGAGGGACTCTTCGGCTAGTGAGGAGGCTCTTCCTGCCTGGAGGACACGCGTGTGGTCAGGGAGAGCTTTGCAGAGGAGAGGCCACAAAGCTGTCCTTGTGGTTTAAGGAGTTTGCCGGTGGCCTGGGGTGGGGCAGTAGGGACATCATTTATTTGAAAAATATTTATTGACTAACTACTACATGCCAGGCACTGTCGTCAGTGTGGGGACACAGCTGTGGACAGCAGAGATGAAACTCTGCCTTCAAGGAGACGGCTTTCTGGTGGAAGGTCATAGAAGCCACCGAGCGGTGAAGGGGCGGTGACAGGGCTGCTGTTTTGTACCGGCTGGTCAGGACAGGCCTCGGCGAGAGATGCCATCTGGGCAGAGATCTGCAGGGGCCAGGGGAGTGGCCCACAGGGATACCAGGAGCAGAGGGGATGGCAGGACGCATTCCTGAAGTGGAGGAACTCTCTCTGGGCTCCGGGAAAAGCAGGACACCCAAGCTGCAGGGGAGGTGGGGGGCGTGAGGTACGATGGGGTGCGGGGGTGTCCCCGGTCATCTCAGGCTTTGTAGGTCTGGCTGCTGGAAAATTACAGGATGCCCAGTTACACTGGAATTTCAGATAAGCAGCAAATAATTTTTTAGTATAAGTGTGTCCCACGCAAGTTTGCCTTTCTCTGAAATTCAAAAAAAGATTTTTAGTTCCTAATATCCCTTTCTTCTTTTTAAAACATTGTTTTAATTGACCAATAAAAATTGCATATTCTTATGGCCTACAATATGATGTTTTGGAATATGTATACATTTATGGGATGACTAAATTGAGCTAATTAACATATGCATTACTTTCCACCTTGTTTTTTTTTTTCCTGTGGTGAGAACACTTAAAATCTACTCTTAGCGATTTTCAAGAATGCAGTACACTGTCATTAGCTATGCTGCCACGACGTACCATGGGGCTCTTTCACTTATTCTCCCTAACTGGAACTTTGTGTCCTTTGACCCACAGCTCCCCAATTCTCACTCCCTGTCCGCCAGCCTCTGGTAACCACCATTCTACTTTCTGCTTCAATGAATTTGGCTTTTTCAGAGTTCGCCTGTCCATGTGAGATCACGTGGTATTTGTTTTTCTGTGTCTGGCTTATTTCACTTAACATGTCCTTGAAATTCAAACCTAACGGGCATCCTGCCTTTTTGTTTGTGAAATCTGGCCACCCTAGCTGTGGCCTCTACAAGACTTTGGCTTTACTCTGAGATGGAAGTCACTGGAAGCTTTGGGGTGCAGGAGAGACGGGGCGTGACCAGTTTTAAAGGGTCCTGGGGCGTGAGCGGACTGTGGCTGGCAAGGGGGGGAGCCGCTGGAGGTGAGAGGTGGGATGGAGGCTCCAGGAGGCAGTGTGCAGGTGCTGAGGGGAGTCTGCATGTGTTTTGAAGACAGCTGACCCCATTTGCTAATGGGTTGGTTGTGGGATGGCAGGTGGGGGACATGGAGGACTCCAAGGCTTTTGGCCTGAGCAACCGATAAGATTGCAGGAGGATTGTGTGTGTGTGTTTGCGTGTGCTTTTGGACACGGTTCAGAGATGCCCACTGGACAACCAGGAGGAGACATGCAGTGGGCAGGAGTTCAGAGAGAACTCATTCATTCGTCATCAGCTTGGATGTCATTTAGAGCTGAGCACCTGCCCGAGGGCAGAGGAGGTGTGTAGGTAGAGAAGCAGCCCTACTCCAACATCTGCAGAGGCCTGGAGGCTGGAAGGCCCTGGTGCACACTGATAGTCAGGCCCATGTAGTGTGGGAAATGAGACCGGCATGGCCTGGAGGCAGAGAGAGCCATGAGGAGTTCCAAGAAGGGGAGTGACTAGTCAGATGTGTGTGTTTTAGAAGGGTGCCTCCGGGGCAGGGTGGAGGGGATGGAGCAAGGCCAGGAGGGCAGAAAGGGGACTGTGGCACCAGCCCTGCCCCAGCACAGCAGCCGGGGACTTGGTGGGGGGTGGTGCAGGGAGACACAAGGGAGGGTGGTTTGTGTGTGGCGCTGCGGACAGGGCTGGGCAGCAGGATGGATGTGGGGTGCAGGAGGACGGCTGGGGGCAGAGAGAGAGGCTTTTGAATTTGCCTCAGAGGAGTGCAGGGTGTCCCCACCCCACCCCCAGCAGCCCACGGCCGCTGTGCTTGTTAGCAAGGAACACTCCTCAGAGGGAACATATGTGCTGTTATTTTTAGGTGATTAGCCGCACGTCGTGGAGCGTTTGTTTGCCAGTCGTGGGTAAACAAAAGCCATTTGTCAAAATGAGATGTTCCAGCCTCGTCCTCCCTTCGGCAGGCCAGTCCCCGCACTGTGAATTCCTGTTGCATCAGCAGTGAAGCTAATTAGCTCCTCGGCTCTTGAATAATAATGGCCACATTTACCGAGAGATTTCTGTGCACGAGGAGCCCTGCAAATGTGATCTACGCAAGAATCACAGGTGCATCTTATTGGCTCCAGTTTGGAGTGGGGGAAACTGAGGCTCAGGGAGGTGGAGCGGTTTGCTCAAGGCCCCACAGCTAGGAAGTGAAAGCTCTGACATTCTCAGATCTGAATGACCCCCAAGCCTGAGATGGGTGAGGGGGCTGCTCTGTTCTTCTGGAATATCTCCCCTTCCCCATCCTGTGAGCAGAAACTGAGCAACATCACAAGCAGCCTAAGGTAATTAGACTATCATTCCTTGTATGGAGTTCAAATCTTCATTGCATCCAAGGTATCTGCTCTGTTTCTCACTTCTGAGTCCTGCACGTGCTAACCTTTCCAATCTCTGGGCTTTGGACAGCCACAGTGAGTCTGAGGTTTGTTTCTGCCACTTCAGGTCTAAGTATGAGCTTGGGCAGGTCTCTGAGATGAAGTGTGTTGGGGCTCATTGGCCAGTGCTCCTGAAGTCAATACCATTGGAAGGGAGCGGGGAGGAGCAGGCTGGGCAAAGGGGGAGGCTGACCTATGATGCTATCTCAGCAGAAGCCTCAGCTGGCCTGAGGATGGGATGACCCCTCAGGACTGTCCCGAGTCAAAGCAAAAGTTCGGGTACTTGGCACCCCACATTGGTGCCAGGGACCCCACATTGGGTCATTGGATGTAGGCCTCCCTGGGAATGGAGCATGAGGGCTGTCAACTTTCTGCAGGCAGTACTCCCAGCAGCTGGGGTAATAAGTCCTTTATTCCTGCAGAGGGACCTGGGTGGCACCTTACAGAGTCCTTCACAGTCACCTCTTGGATCCACTTCATGTAAGTTCTGCGAGAAGCTCTTCTAGGAGGCAACTTGAAGAGGAAAATTACTGGGATGAACTCCAACCCCTACCTCTGAAGTTTTGGGGTCTCAGGGCTGCAACTGACATCCTCACCTGCCCACTCCACTACCCATTATAGACCACCTCACTCTCAGACGACATCTCTGTTGGTCTCCTGATTACCTGAGGGAACTGAGACCCTGGTCACCATGCTATTTTCAGGCCAGGGTTGCTACACTTGTCAACTTAACATCAAAATTGGGCAAGGGAGTACCAAGAAGCACCCAAGGGCATCGCCTGGATGTCAAACATATTCCTCCCAGACCCCATATGCAACCGCTTCTGGATGCCAGGATGCGACTCCTCTTCTTACCGCTGGCCCCTTGATGCAAGGACAAGAAACCCAGAGTGCCAAGGAGGCGACTGTGCTTCGACTTTGAGGGACTCTGGCTGTGCCACCTTGCAGAAGTATTTTCTCTTTGGGAACAAGGACCTCTAAACTTACGGAACCCAGAGTTGAGGGACAGAAAGCACAAATTCTTTAAGTGGGCCACTGGGCCACTTAAGCTTCTACCCCTAGGTTCCTAGACCCGTGTATTCTGCCCAGTGGGGATGCAGTGCCATATATAGTATTTGATTTGAAGTGATACTGCATCTTGGAGGATGGTACTGAAACCTTGTGAAGGCTTGTTTCTGAACTGGCATTGCAGCTCTGTCTTCATCGGGCCAGCAGCTTTGGGGTCATGTGGTGTGCAGTATTAACAGTGGATCCCTGGTCATGGGCCAGCCCACTCCCGCCCCTGCAGGGTTATTGCTATAAGATGGGCTGTTGAGTCAGAAGTGATGTTATGTGGCATCCTGTGCCAGTGAATCAAACACTTCATAGACCCTTGAGCAGAGAATCCATGGGCAGGAAAGGCAAATCTCTATCTGGAACTGGTCTCTATTCCTGATCTTTCAGGAGAGGGTCCAATGTAGTCATCTGCCACATGCCAAGCCAAACCAATCTCAGTTTTATCCTCTTCAGCTGGTGACATGGGAGTCCCCCATGTGGCCATTCGAATGAGCTGAGGCTGCTGGTGCCTCAGTGGGGATGATGTGGGGTCTGGGCTACCTGCCGTGTAGCTTGCTGGTGTCCTCAAGGCGTGCTCATGTTTGACCCGGGATGTCCCCACCATGTTAGATTGATTGATTGGGTCTGGCAGACCCAGCTCATGACAGGCAGTTCCAGCTGCCTGATCACTCGGTGTCTCATGTCTGGGTGTTGTGTGTCACATGAGGGCTAGTAGCACAGGCACACCAGGACCTGTTTTCAGAAGGTGAATAATCCTTTGCTGCTAATTGTAATTCACTCCCAAATTTTAGGGAGTCTCCAGATCCTAAGGGATTCTCCCACTGGAGCTTGCATTCTTCACTGGCATCTCTTCCTATCACTCACATGGCTGACACCATAGGGTCTGCTGAGTACTGTATGGCTCAAGGGATGGGGTTGATGGCTCCAGCAGCCTGACACTTTTGCAGAATCCTTTCTTGCTCTGGGCCTTGGCAGCCTTTCATGGCATTGGCATATGGGGTTGGAGCAGTATTCCTAGCTATGAAATATGTTGCCTCCAGATCTACCTATCAGGTGTTAGGATTTCTTCTTCATGGTGGGAGGTAAAAGATTAAATAATTTATCTTTGCTTTGTAGGTATGTCCCAGTATTCACCAGACCATTGAATTCCTAGAAATTTTACTAATGTGGTGGCCTCTCGATCTTCAGTAGTTTTCTCTCTCACCCTTTGGCTTCCAGCATGCTAGGTACCGCTTGTCTATCTGCCTGATCAGCATGATGACATCAGTGTACTGGATCAGTGTGATGTTCTGCAGGATGTCCGATGATCCAGATCTTTTTGGATGGTCATGACAGAGCTCTGATGAAAGTTGTGAATGTATACTGTTGTCCCTTCCATGTGAATGTGAACTCTTTCTGATTCTCTTTCTTGATTGAGATGGAAATGAGCATATTCACCAGATTAATGGCTTCATAACATGTACCTGAATTCAATTTTTTTTGAGATGGAATCTCACTCTGTCACCCAGGCTGGAGTGCAGTGGGGCGTGATCTTGGCTCACACAACCTTTGCCTCCCAGGTGAAGTGATTCTCCTGCCTCAGCCTCCTGAGTAGCTGGGATTACAGGCGTGAGCCACCATGCCTGGCCAGTTTTTGTTATTTTTAATAGAGATGGGGTTTATCATGTTGACCAAGCTGGTCTCAAACTCCTGACTTCAAATGATCCACCAACCTCAGCCTCCCAAATGCTGGGACTGTAGGCATGAGCCATTTCGCCTGGCTCCCTGAATTCATATTAATCTTCTCTAGCAGCAATACCACACCTAGCAAGGAAGCTGCAATGGGGCTACTAGTTGTTGCACTTCTGGTAGTTTCCATGGGGAACAGACTGGTGAATTAAATGGGACTATAATAGGAATGATCATCCATGCATCTTTTAGATCTTTAAGAACAGCACTCATCTTTGCCATCCCCTGGGATGTAATACTGCTTTTTATTTGCTATCTTGGCCAGAAGGGGGAGTTTCAGAGGCTTCCACTTGGATTTCCCCACTATGATAGCTCTTACCTCACAGGATAAAGGGCTTGTGTCAATTACTAAGTATGTCAATTACAGTTATACATTTGGAGACCACTGAGGGTGGGACCTTGGACTGTGGGTGAGCTGGACCTAAGCTAGAACTCCATTTATCACCTGGCTCCCTTAGGAGGGGCCATGCTAATGCTCTGGGTTTCCCCTTCCCCAGTACACAGTTACCTGAGTAACGTTGGGAAGAAATGGAGGAATCCTCGCTGTGTGCAGTCATGGGGTTCTTCCTCCTGGGGACATAGGCTTTCTGTCAATCAAGTTTCCACGTCCAAGAACTTGCTCAGGGATGGACATTGGGGAAGGGATTTTTACTTTTTTTTAAATTAAGGTGACTGTCCTTAGCTTCCCAGCCATCCATCCGTGCTGTTTTTGATTATGCAGATACAGTAGTATCCTTGTTGGCTCCATATCTATGTGGCCCCTAGGGGTGCCAAGTTCTATTCACTCCACAGGTCTCTGTAGGTCAGGCTCCCCTGGCCTCCTCTCTACCCTACCACTCACCACAATGACATCTTCCTGCCTTCTGATGGTGCCATGGTCTGAATGTTGGTGTCTCCCCAAAATTCATACGTTGAAACCTGACCACCAATGTGAGGGTATCAGGAGGTGGGGCCTTTGGAAGGCGATTGGGTCATGAAGGTGGAGCCTCATGAATGGGACTAGTGCCCTAATGAAAAGATGTCCCAGCATGCTGCCCTGCCTGTTCTACACTCTGAGGACACAGTGAGAAGGCACCATCTATGAGCCAGAAAGTGGGCCTTCAGCAGACACCAAATCTACTTTGATCTTGGACTTCCCGGCCTCCAGAACTGTTAGAAATGAATTTCTTTATAAGCCACCCAGCCTATGGCATTTTGTTACAGCAGCACTAAGGTAGATGGCTTCTAGTTTTCCAAGGTCCTTGGGATCATTTCTGTGAGTAAGCCTGGTTGTACAGTGGCAATTCCTCCTGCCAGCCCTGGTCCCCAGAGAGGAGCCATCACTGAATTTCTAAGTGATCCATTCCTAACAGCCTTGGTAAGTGGGTTATCATCTGGGTCCTGTGTGCAGCACAGGCCTCTGGGAGTTCCAGCCTTACATGGCACACCTCCTCTGGTGGGCCCACCTCTCTGAGCCTAAGTGCCAAGGGCCTACCGTCTGCTCCAGCAGTTCTCACTTCATGCTGGCCGCTGCTTTTTCCCATGTTTCTAGGAATCATCTGCAGTGAGTTTGCACCATCTCCTGGGACACTGGTGAGAGTATTAAATCCTGTATCCTGGGAGAGTTCTCCCAAGTTGATAAATACTCCCTTATCTAACCTTACCTTCTGACCTCCTTGACCAGACACCCTTGGATTCCAGTCCCATGTTCCTGCAGACCTGTGCTGGGTAGGTCCTACAGCTCCTTTGGGGTATAGCCCCATCTTTCCTCACCAGGCTCAACATGCCCACAGCTGGTTGCTGTTGTGACTTCATCCTAGTCATTGGCCTAATGACCAGGAGGACAGACAAGGCAGAGCCTGAGCCGGGGACGTGTTGTCTGGCTGGGGAGAGGCCTCTGCACAGTGTCCAGGCAAGGAGGGAGGGAGTGCCAGCCCTTAGCGGCAGGGGCGGCATTCCTGCCAGCTCAGAGGGCTCAGTGGGGATATAGAGAGTCCATCGTTTGTAGAGACCTCAACCTAAATGTTCCCAGCCTGTGTGTCAGAGTTGTACTCTCTCTCTCTCTCTCTCCTTTTTTTTTTTTTTTTGGCAAGGGGTAGGGGGACAGAGTGTCGCTATGTCACCCAGGCTGGAGTACAGTGGTGCGATCTCAGCTCACTGGAACCTCCGCCTCCCGGATTCAAGTGATTCTCCTGCCTCAGCCTCCTGAGTAGCTGGGATTACAGGTGCATGCCACCACACTTGGCTAATTTTCATATTTTTAATAGAGACAGGGATTCACCATGTTGGCCAGGCTGGTTTTTCATATTTTTAGTAGATACAGGGATTCACCACGTTGGCCAGGCTGGTTTCTAACTCTTGACCTCGTGATCCACCCACCTCGGCCTCCCAAAGTGCTGAGATTACAAGCGTGAGCCACTGTGTCAGGCCACAGGGTTGCGCTCTCTTCTAACCAGGGCCCTGGCCTTGGCACAGTAGACCTGCCTTGGTTGGAGTTGCATCTTCTGTGGATCCTGAGCCTGGTTTCTGCTTTCTCCGTCCTCCTGGTGCAGATGAGAGCCTCTTTAAACGCCAACAGAAGGGCCTCTGGCTTTCACGTTAGCCTTTAATTGCTGAGCTGGGACTACAGGCATGTGTCACCACACCCAGCTAATTTTTTATTTTTAGTAGAGACGGAGTTTCACCATGTTGGCCAGGCTGGTCTTGAACTCCTGACCTCAGGTGATCCTCCTATCTTGGCCTCCCAAAGTGCTGGAATTACAGGCACCCGCCCAGCCAATACATTTTAAAAAATGTTGTATATTGATTTCAGGCCTTTTATTTTCTTAAAAGCAGCAGCTATTTAGCCTAATTCTGAGCAGTGGTTTGTTCTCTGGGCCAGTAGGATTTTATGCATGCTTTTTGTGATCCGTGTTCAAAATCTGCATTGCCAACATTGCAGCTCCAATGTAAGCTTGTTATTCAAATAAATATTTAATTTTTAAACTTGCTTCTGTACTGTATGGCTGGGTACAGTGGCTCATGCCTGTAATCCCAGCATTTTGGGAGGCTGAGGCTGGTGGATCACCTGAGGTCAGGAGTTTGAGACCAGCCTGGCCAGCATGGTGAAACCTCGTCTCTACTAAAAATACAAAGATTAGTTGGCCATGGTGGTGGGCACCTGTAATCCCAGCTACTCAGGAGGCTGAGGCAGAAGAATCACTTAAACCCGGGTGGCAGAGGTTGCAGTGAGCTGAGATCATGCCACTGCACTCCAGCCTGGGCGACAGAGTGAGACTCCATCTCAAAAAAAAAAAAAAAAAAAAAAATTGCTCCTGTATTACCAGATGCCCCTTTTAGTATTATTTTAGAAGCATTGGGAGAGTTTTGGCTAAAGTGCAATTTACCAGAAAACACTAGATTTTAGCTTTATAAAACTTAAATCTTTCATAGGACCTATATTTTCTTGAATTAAATTTTGCAGTTCTAGGCCAGGCACAGTGGCTCATGCCTGTAATCCCAGCATTTGGGAGGCCGAGGCGGGTGGATCATGTGAGGTCAGGAGTTCAAGACCAGCCTGGCCAACATGGTGAAACTCCGTCTCTACTAAAAGTAGAATATAAGTAGTGTATAAGCCCTGGGTCCTAGGCTCTGGGTATAAGCCTCACGTTTTTTCTGGGTATAAGACTTGTGTTTCCTAGGCTCTGGATATAAGCTACATGTCCTAGGCTCTGAGTACAAGCCCAATGTCCTAGGCTCCGTGTATAAGACCCGGGTCCTAAACTCTGGATATAAGCCTTGTGTCCTCGGCTCTGGGTATAAGCCTTGTGTTTTAGTCTTTGGGTATAAGCTCCATATCCTAGGCTCTGGGTATAAGCTTTGTTTCCTAGGCTCTGGGTATAAGCCCCACGTCCTTGGCTCTGTGTATAAGCCCCAAGTCCTAGGCTCTGGGTATAAGCCCCAAATCCTAGGCTCTGGGTATAAGCCCCGGGTCCTAGGCTCTGGGTATAAGCCCCGGGTCCTAGGCTCTGGGTATAAGCCCCAAGTCCTAGGCTCTGGGTGTAAGCCCCGGGTCCTAGGCTCTGGGTGTAAGCCCCGGGTCCTAGGCTCTGGGTGTAAGCCCCGGGTCCTAGGCTCTGGGTGTAAGCCCCGGGTCCTAGGCTCTGGGTGTAAGCCCCGGGTCCTAGGCTGTGGGTGTAAGCCCCGGGTCCTAGGCTCTGGGTGTAAGCCCCGGGTCCTAGGCGCTGGGTATAAGCCCCGGGTCGTAGGCTCACCCCAGGACCCCCCAGCACAGGTCCAGTGGCTTCCCGTTATTAGAGGTGAATGTGATCCTGGGCATCATTTATTTGGGGGAAAATTGGATTCTTTGGGGCTCCAGTTCCTCTCTGCTGCTGGCTCTCCTAGGCTGCCAGTCCCACATCCCACTTCCCCTGTGTAGAAGGGGGAAGGCCACCCCCTCCACACTCCCCCCCATGAGGCTGAAAGTGGCCAAATTCTCCCATAGAAAAAGTTTGCTGCGGCTTTGAATAAACATAGAAATTGATCATCCCAGCCTTAAAGAAAGTTACATTTGTCTCAGTGGAGTTTTCTTGGGAAACCTCCCAGAGAACAGTAGGGAGCTGAAACTTACGAGCTAGAGCTCTGGGCCTGATAGTGAGAGGCCTGCCCCTCAGCCCTCCGGAGTGCCTCAGCCACCTGGTGTCTGTTGACCAACGCCTTTGCCTCCCTGCTCTCTAACTCCTGTTTTTCCACAACTGGTTACATTTCTTCTTGGCCAGGCCTCCAGGACCCCCACCCTCTGCACTGCCCTGGATGCTGACGAAGGCTCTCCTTCCCTCTCCCTAACCAGCTCCTCCCCTCCTCCCACCTTTGGCCATGCAGAGGCCCAGCTACACTGTGCCTCTGCCTCTGAGAAATGGCTGGGGGTGCGCTGCGGGGGTGCGCTGCTGGGGAGCCTGGAGCTGGGGTAGGGATGGGGGGTTGGGGAGAGGGTGTTGTTCTCAGAGTCCTCTGGGTCGCAACCCCAGCAACCCCAGCAGTACCAGATCTTGCATCCCCACCTGGTTTCCTTGCCCGCTGTGCAGTGGAAAGGGCGCACCTGTTTGAAAGGAGCGGCTGTGCTTGCAGAGGTGCGCTGACCCAGGATACTGGTGGCCTTTCCAGCACCCGCCTGTCTGGCAGCTACCGCCCCACGCTCCTATCCCTGCTTAGTGGAGCCCCGCTGCTACCGCGTCCTGTTCTGACCTCTGCCAGCCCGCGCCCCGCTCCCCTCCGCGTCCTGCTGCCCGCGTTCTGTACCTGCCCGCGCCCCGCTCCTACGCGTGCGCCACTCCTATCCGTGCCCCGCTCCTAGCTAAGCCCGGCCCGTGCCCACTCCCACCCGCCGCCTTGCGCTGCCCCTTCCGGCTCCTCCCCAGCAGCCGGCACCCGCCTGGCCCAACAGTGACAGAGCAGGGCGCGCAGCCGCTGAGTGCTCTGGAGTCCCTGCCCCGAGGTGCCACGCCCACGTCGGCCTCACCCGGGCAGGCATGGGGCGGTCGGGCTTAGCGCCGCACCCCGCCGGCCAGAGCCACCGTCTCTCCAGACGCGGCCCCAGCGCCCACTGGGGATGGCAAAGACGACATCCGGTGCGCCGAGGCTGCTCACAAAAGTAAGTCTTGCTGGCTGCAGGCGCCCGCATCGGCCAGTGCAAAGGTGGCCCAGAGTGCCAAGCGGCGGAGCCGAGCTTTGAGAAGCACCTTTCTGCTTGCGCTGGGCAGCGGGCTGCGTGTGACTGGCCACCTGGCCTCGGCTGGGAGCGCACTGGTGGCGGGCGGCGGGCAGGTCTCTGACAGGAGCAGGCGCCCGCGAGCAGCGGGGCTGGTGCCCAGAACCTAGCGCAGTGGGAGTTCCCAGCGTGGTTGTCCCAAGCACCAAAGCCGGTGTCCTGAAGCAAACAGGGCAGCTCTTTCGGGGCAGGTGTGGGCGAAGGGGCGGGGAGCCCAGGAAGCCACGAGTGGCACGGGTCTGCTGTTTTTGAAGGAGACGGTGCAGTCCTGGTTTCCTTTTTTAAAATTTTATTTTATTATGCTTTAAGTTCTGGGGTACATGTGCAGAAAGTGCAGGTTGGTTAACAGGTATACATGGGCCACGGTGGTTTGTTGCACCCATCAACCCGTCATCAACATTAGGTATTTCTCCTAATGCTATCCCTCCCCCCAGCCCCCGACAGGCCCCAGTGTGTGATGTTCCCCTCCCTGTGTCCATGTATTCTCATTGTTCAACTCCCACTTATGAGTGAGAACATGTGGTGTTTGGTTTTCTGTTCCTGTGTTAGTTTGCTGAGAATGATGTTTCCCAGCTTCATCCATGTCCCTGCAAAGGACAGGAACTCATCCTTTTTTATGGCTGCATAGTGTATATGTGCCACGTTTTCTTTATCCAGTCTATCATTGATGGACATTTGGGTTGGTTCCAAGTCTTTGCTATTGTGGAACAGTGCCGCAATAAACATATGTGTGCTTGTGTCTTTATAGTAGAATGATTGATAATCCTTTGGGTATATACCCAGTAATGGGATTGCTGGGTCAAATTGTATTTCTATTTCTAGATCCTTGAGGATGTGGAGAAATAGGAACGCTTTTACACTGTTGGTAGGAGTGTAAATTAGTTCAACCATTGTGGAAGACAGTGTGGCGATTCCTGGTTTCCTTTTTGAGCTCTACCTTCCTCATTCCTCCTCCAGCTCTGCCGCTTTGGCTGGCAGAGGAGTGCAGAGGCTCTCTTTGGCAAGGTTGCTTTGCTCTCCTGCGTTTTTGCCACCTGGTCTTTAAAAACCTAAAAGCCTGTGGTTTCTGGGGTGGCTCCCTTGGAGGGGCTGCAGTGGGCTGAGACCCAGCCTGCAGCCTGGGAGTTCTGTGCCACTGTCTGGGAGGGCACCTGAAGATGTGGCTTTGGGGCCATGGGAGGTCAGGGACAACACTTATGGGTGCAAGTTTTGGGTCTGGGTGTCGGGGCCAGGGGTGCTGCTGCACTGAGGATGAGGTGCAGGGTGTGGTGTTGAGTGTCAGGGGCAGAGTTGCTGCAGTGCAGAGGACAGAGGTGGTGCAGGGCAGGGTTCCTGGGCATGAAAAGGCAGGGGTGACAGAGCAGGAGCACCGTCATCTCAGACAAACACCGCCACTTTAAGTTCCAGCTCCCTTTCTAGCCCCATGCATTTCAAGGATATCACTTAACTTCTAACTACAAGCAGCAGCCAGAAAGAGCAGGCAGTAAAAGATAAGACAGCTTGGGCACAGAGGGAGGTGGGGGGAGGGGGGAAAGTCTCTCAAGTAACTACCAAACTTCACCCTCATACAATGGGCCCCAGTAAACCAGTGGGCCTTAATAATCACAGTCCTTTCCCTTCAGATGCGCTAAGATAGGGAAGCTAAAGCAGACTCGGGGGAGGGGAGGTATGCCTGCGGCTGAAGCAAGATGTATGGGAACAGACACACAATTCTCCCTCCCAGATAAGCACAACAAAGAGACATAGGAGCAGTGCAAGCCTCTGATAAACTCTCCCACCCTGAATCCTTAAAAACTTTTAGCATGTAGGGGAGTGCGGCTTCTGACTTGACTTGGACAGAAGTCCCTCCCAGGTTTGAAATAAACCTGCTGACTGTTGAGCCACCCTTCGTGTTTCTCTCCTCTTTAATTCTTACAACCCCTCCTTCTGAGATGGAGATGTTTCCAGCTGGGGAAACTGAGGCTCAGAGAGAGTCGACTAAGGGAAGGCAAGAAAGGGAGGCAGAGCCCCCTGCAGGCCCTCCTCACCCGAGGAACTGAGAGAAGCCAGGGCCAGGGCCTGGCCTGCCTTGCAACCCACTCTGCCTCCACCTCTCCTTGTGGGACCTCGGGGTGGCCCCATTTCCCTTGTGCGGGCGAGGAGCTCCTTTTTGCTGCCTGATGTTTTGGATCCTGAGCCCACACCCAGGCAGGGCTGTCTCCTCTCCCTATAGTTGCTGAGGCCATCAGGCCGCAGGCTTCACCTCTGTTCTCTACTGGGTGATCCTCTGGTCAGGTCCCTGGGTGTGCATGTGGAGGAAGGTGTGCATCCGTGTGCATGTGTGTCCACACATGTGAACACAGGTGTATGCATGTGTGCACGTATGCAAGTGTACAGGGGTGCACCCACATGAGGCTCCCCAGACCTTTTCCCCAGGAGAAGACCATATCTCCCCCTGGTGTCAGGTGTCCACTCAAGCCCTCCAAGGGTGGGGATGGGGAGAAGGGAAAAGTGCCTGGGATGCCAGGCAGGAGTGCAGGCTCAGATGGGCCCTGAGGTGGTCACAGAGCTGAGCCAGGCATCCAGTCTGTGCAGCAGCCAAGATGTGGCCAGAGAGGTTCCTGGGAGGTGGGGGCGGGGGGGTGCTATTCAGGCCCACCCCCTTCTCTCTTCATTCTCCTAGGGGACAGTCACAGGAGCTTGTCTGTTGCCAAAAGTCCCCCTCAGCCCCTCCCTACCTACAATGTCCCTTCCCTGGGCATAGGCCTGAGTGTGAAGACTGTGTAGCTGCTAGCAACAGAAACGGGGCTTGTATGCACCCAAGGGAGACAACTCCAGCTCTGTAAAGCCTGGCGGGGGTGGGTGGCAGGCAGCAGAGGGTCCAGTGGTTTAGGGTACCTCTCGTGGGCTGGCTGCCCACACCACCTACCCCTCAGCAGGCCGGCTCTGGACATAGCGGTTGGCCAAGTCCGAGCCAGCCCGTCTTTGCAACTCCTCCTCCTGCCTGCCAGGGTGACTTCACTTTTTCAGATCTGCAGTGATGTGCAGATCACTGATTCAGCCCTGAGCTCAGCCAGGATGCAGGAGAAAGAGGAGGGGCTGGCCCCGGGGCACCCCAGGCCCAGCTTCCTGGGCCCTCCCACCCCATGGCCCCATGGGCTTCCCTTCCTCCATCTGTCTGTGGCTGGGTGCAGGCCAGACCTCAAGAGGCAGCTGGGGGATATGGAAAGAACAGGGACTTTCCCCACAGAAGCCCAGAACCCACCTCCTACCTCACCCCAGGACCCCCCTGACAGGTCCATGGCTTCCCCTTTTTAGAGGTGAATGTGATGCTGGGCATCATTTCTTCGGGGGAAAACTGGATTCTCTGGGGCTCCATGCTGGCTCTCCTAGTCCCACACCCCGTGCTTTCCTGTGTAGAGGAGGGAAGGGCCCCCCCCACTCCCCCAATGAGGTGGAAAGTAGCCAAATTCTCCTGTAGATGTTTACTGCTTCTTTGAATAAATGTAGAAATTGATCCTCCCAGTCTTAAAGAAAGTTACATTTGTCTCACTGGAGTTGGTTTCTCCGGAAACCTCCCAGAGAACAGTAGGGAGTTGAAACTTACCAGCTCGGGGCCTGACATTGACAGGCCTGCCCCTCACCCCTCTGGACTGCCTCAGCCACCTGGTGCCTGTTGACCAACGCCTCTGCCTCCCGCCTCCCTAATTCTTGTTTTTCCAAACCTGGTTACATTTTTCCCAGGCCTGGCCTCCAGGACCCCCACCCTCTGCACTGCCCTGGATGCTGACAAACGCTCTCCTGCCCCCTTCCCTGCCCATATCTTCCCTTCCTCTGGCCTCTAGCCCCACAGAGGCTGAGCTCCACCGAGCCTCTGCCTCAGGAGAAATGGCTGGGGATGCGCTCTGGTGGGGGGAGCCTGGAGCTGGGGTAGGGATGGGCGGTTGGCGGGGAGGGTGGTGTTCTCAGAGTCCTCGGGTCACAACCCCAGCAGTCTCAGATCTTGCATCCTGCACGGCTTCCCTGCTGTCTTTGTGCAGCAAAAAGGGCAAAGCACAGGGACTGCAGGCAGGTGCACCTGGTGAAAGGAGGGGCTGTGCGTGCAAAGGCGAGCGGACCCAGGTTAGTGGTGGCCTTCCCAGCACCACGCCCTGCTCCCGCCTGCGCCCTGCTCCTACCTCTGCCGGCCGGCTTTGCTCTTACCCGCGCCCCGCTCCTGTGGCGACCCGCTCCTATCCCTGCCTGGCCCGCTCCCCGCTCCTGCCCCTGCCCCTGCCCCTGCCTGGCCCCCGCCCCGCTCCTGCCCTTGCACAGTCCGCGCTCCTCTCCTACATGCCGCCTGCGTGCTTCCCCTGCCTGCTCCTCTCGCGCACGGCGCTCGCCTGGCGGGCAGAGACCAGAGCAGGGCGTACAGCAGCTCAGATTGCCCAGGAGTCCCTGCCCAGAGGTGCCATGCCCACAGTGTCCCTCGGGTCCACCAAGCCCTGGGCAGGCATGGGGCGACCGGGCTGAGCGCCGCACCCCGCCCCGCAGAGCCGCCGGTCAGAACCACCGTCCTTTCTGCGCGACCCCGGTGCGCAGGGGCGAAGGAGACATCCGGTGCTGCTGCCGCTGCTCGGCAAAAGTGAAAGTCCCGCCGGCTGAGGGTGCCCTCACGGGCCAGCGCGAAGGTGGCCCCGTGCGCACAGCGCCCTGATAATTGCTTTTTTTCTTGTGATGGGCATCGGGCTGAGCGTCGCAGGCCACCCGGCCTCAGCTTGGAGAGCATTGGCATGGCAGGTCTGCAGGAGCAGGCGCCGGCCTGGCAGCGGGCTTGGTGCCCAGAACCCAGCCACAGCCGGAGGTCCCAATGTGGCTGCCCCTCCCGCCAAAGCCGCCTCCCGAAGTAAACAGGACAGCCCTTTCTGAGCAAGCATGAGCAGAGGGCCGGGGAGCCCAGAAGTCGCCACTGTCCTGGGCCTGCTGTTTCTGCAGCAGATGGCCCAGTCCTGAGTTCCCTTCTGCGCTCTACCTCCCTCATTCCTCCTCCAGCTCTGCTGCTGGAGTGGAGCGGTCTCTTAGGCAAGGCTACTTTGCTCTCCTGCATTTTTGCCACTCTGGTCTTTAAACATCTAAAAGCCTGTCGTTTCTGGGGTGGAACCCTTGGTGAGGCTGCCGTGGGCCTCAACCCACCGGGCAGCCTGGGAGTTACGTGCTGCTGCGGACAGAGCACCTGAAGATACGGCCTTCAGGGCCATGGGAGGCTCAGGGCCAACACTTACCGGTGCGGGTTTTGGGACTGGGTGTCAGAGGACAGGGGTGCTGCTGTGCTGAGGACAGGTGGGGCAGGGCGGGTGGCCCGGGCATCAAAAGGCATGGATGGTGCTGTGCTGAGGGCGGGGTTCAGGGTGGCGGGGCTGGGATTCAGGGCAGGGGTGCTGCTGTGCTGAGGACAGCGGGTGCAGGGCCGGGGGCTCGTTTTCAGGGGTCAGGGTGGGGGAATGGGTGTCGGGGCAGGGGTGCTGCTTTGCTGAGGACAGGGTGCAGGGTGGGGGGCTTGGTTTCATGATACAGGGGTGCTGTTGTGCTGAGGACGGGGTGAATGTTGACGGGCTGAAGGTCCAGGTACAGGGGTACCACTGCGCTGAGGACAGGGAGTGCCGCGTGGGGCCTGGGTGCCAGGGTTTGGGGTGCAAATATAGTGAGGTCAGGATGCATTGGGGAGAGTGCCGCAGGGACCTCGGGAGCTGTCACATGGCAGGGAGAGGCCGCAGTCAACACCCTGTGTCATGATTTCTTCCCCACCTGTGTGTGGCCAGGCGCAGGGGACTAGACAGTGGCTGCCAAACAGGGAGTGCACCCCGGCGGTGGCTGTAGGGGACCACGACAGTGGGGCCACCTCTCCCTGCGTGTCTGCACCTGGGCCTGCCAGGGCTGTCTGCCATGCTCCATGGGGTGGGGGTCTTCGGCCCCTGGGAGGCTGCCGGTCGGTGTGACTTGGAGAGGTTGTGGTCAGGGGTCCCCTGGGGGCTGTGATGCAGTAACTAACTGCACCCTTTGGGGCTGGGAGGGGTGAGAAGGTTCTAGGCCTCCCAGAGCCCACCTGGCTCCTCCATCAGAAAGGCAGCCAGGCTTGGGGTTGAGGAGGTGATGCTGTGCCCCCTGAGGCAGGCTCCACTTTCCCCAGGGGACCTTGGCTCTAGGGTGAGGCCCAGGCCTGGGAATGGCTCTGAGATCATCCCTGGGCCTCCGTGGAGCTCTGGCGTCACGGCTGTGTGGTTGTGGGGACTTCCCCACACAGTATGTTCTTGCCTTGCATCCACTCAGACAGAGAGCTTACATTTTTATACTTGTTTATCATTGTGAGTTTTGAATAAATTTTTATAACTTTGTTTCAATTAATCTTTACTATCTTCAGCTAGACTTAATCAAAAATTAAATCAATTCTTTATTATTAAAATTCATAGGACTAAAAAAGTATAAAAATTGAACTAATTAAACCTTCAAAGAATATTTTTATATATTTGCAATATTTTTGCTTCTAAAATCAATTAAAGTGCATGAGAAATTTTGGAATATTCAGCATACACACACACACACATATACACACATATCTGTGACAAATCAATTCAGTATTTTCAAATAGAAGAAACAAGCCTTTCTTTTAGTTCAGAAGCTTTATTTTAGTATTTCTTATAAGGTAGGAGTGCTGGCAGCAAATTTTCTGTCTTTGTTTATTGGGGAATATCTTTATTTTTAAAGGATAGATTTGCCGGACACGGCATTTTTAGTTGACAATTTTTTTTCTTTCATTCTTTGACTATGCCATCCCATTGCCTTCCCACCATTGTTTCTTTCTTCTTCTTCTTCTTTTTTTTTTTTGAGACGGAGTCTCCCTCTGTTTGTTGCCCAGGCTGGAGTGCAGTGGTGTGATCTCAGCCCACTGCAACCTCTGCCTCCCAGGTTCAAGCGATTCTCCAGCCTTAGCCTCCGAGGAGCTGATATTACAGGCACGCACAAACATGCCCAGCTAATTTTTGTATTTTTAGTAGAGACAGGGTTTCATCATGTTGGCCAGGCTAGTCTCGAACTCCTGACCTCAGGTAATCCACCTGCCTTGGCCTCACAAAGTGCTGGGATTACAAGCGTGAGCCACCGTGCCTGGCTTCACCATTGTTTCTGATCAGAAATCAGTGGCTAATTTTATCGTGGTGCTCTTGTACATGAAGAGAAGTTTTTGTCTTACTGTTTTCAATATTTACTCTTTGTCTTTTCATAGCTTGACACAGGTGTGTAGGAGTGGATATCTTGATTTTTATTTTACTAAAAGTAAACATTGATTCTATAGATTAATGTTTTATATCAAATTTGGTAAGTTTTCAGCCATTATTTCTGTAAATAGTTCTTTGTTTCCCCTCTTCTTTCTTTCTGAGACTCTCTTTCTACATATATTGTGCTTGATGTTTCATAAGTCATTTTTCTTTTTCTTTTTCTTTTTTTGAGACAGAGTTTCGCTCTTGTTGCCCAGGCTGGAGTGCAATGGCACGATCTTGGCTCACTGCAACCTCTGCCTCCCAGGTTTAAGCGATTCTCTTGCCTCAGCCTCCCGGATAGTGGGATGCACCACCACACCAGCTAATTTTGTATTTTTAGTAGAGATGGGGTTTCTCCATGTTGATCAGGCTGGTCTCGAATTCCCGACCTCAGGTGATCCGCCTGCCTCGGTGGCCCGAAGTGCTGGGATTACAGGAGTGAGCCACCGTGCCTGGCCCTTTTTAAGTTCTTTTAACATAAGTAACTGCTTTGAAGTCTTTGTTTGCTAAGTGTGACATCTGGGGACACAAAGACAGTTTCCCCCCACACTTGCCTGTTTCTTTTTGTCTTGTAACTTATCATTGAACACTGGATACTTTAGGTTATAGACTCTTCAACTCTGGATTCTGATTCTTTTCTGCTGAGAGTTGTTACTGTTTGTTCGTTTGTTTGTAACCAGCCTGCACTAAATTTGTAAATTCTGTAAGCAGCGTGTAGCCGGAGCCGTCTCTGCTCATTTTTTGTTTCTTATGCATGGCTTCCCAGGAACCGCTCCTTTATCTGCGTGCTTGGTATTCTGCCAACAGTTGTCTGAATTTGTACACTAACACCTTGAGTCGGTGAGGCTTCCACTGTGGCTGATGGATCTACCCGTGGACTAGGGCGTGCACACACAGCTCAGGCCATCTGCTTTCCACAGGCACCTCCCCTCGCTGTGTCTTCTCTTCGCATGAGCTCAGGCACCGTCATCAGTCAGTGATGCTGGGTGGTTTGGGCAGGTTCTGGTCTCTGAGGAGACGAGCAGAGCTACTGGTCCTTCCTGTGTGTTTGCATCGATATCCCTATTTGAAAATTCTCCAAATCATGTGAGTCCCTCTGGTGGTGACAGCAAAGCTGCTGGTTTCATGGTGTTCAACAAATGTGTTTTATATTTAGGTCTATGGGCCGGGAGTGGTGGCTCAGGCCTGTAATCCAAGCACTTTGGGAGACTGAGGTGGGCAGATCACCAGAAGTCAGGAGTTCAAGACCAGCCTGGCCAACATGGTGAAACCCCGTCTCTACTAAAAATACAAAATTTAGCCAGGCATGGTGGTGGTCACCTGTAATCCCAGCTACTCAGTGGGCTGAGGCTGGAGAATCGCTTGAACCTGGGAGGCAGAGGTTGCAGTGAGCCGAGATTGCACACAATAAATAAATGATTTAATGCCCATACAATGGAGTGCTGTGCAGCTCTTAAAAAGAATGCCACAAGCATGGTCAACACATACTGTTCTACTGGATGAGGAGTATTACCATCAGCTCCATTTTTCAGGTGAGAAAACTGAGACTTAGGGAGGCTACATAATTTTCCGAAGGTCACTCCCTACTGAATGTAGGAGCAGGGATCTGACAGCCACCTAATGACACCCTAGAACAGCACTCTCTCCTCCGCTCTCCTCCATGTCCCCCTCTGACTCCCGGGAGACCTCCCCAGCTTGCAGTCCCCAGGGCCCTGGTGTCCATAACCCGAGGAAGGGGAGGGGCCCATGAGATCTTGGACTTTCTCACTTTCTGAAAATGAGCAACTGAGAACGAGACTTGACTTTGCTTAGGAAGTATAAACAAATGCGACATTTATTGCCTATCAAATATTAGAAGCAGTTCGTCTATTTAACGTGTGTTAGTATCGGTGTTCCTTTTTATTCAAACTCTCCCTATTGAGCTCAAGAATCAAAGTCAGATAACTTTGTCGATAAATCCCTTCCTTTCTACACCCTTGCTACTCACTGTCTCAAGACCCAAACTCACTGGGACAAGGCGCTGCCCCTCCTGATTCAAGCCTGGTGTCTGCCTCTCACTATGCAAATCAGGAGCCAGACAGCCGCGGAGAGGGCGGCGGTGAGTGCACAGAGCACACGCATGCGTTCGGCTTGCCCCCACGCCGCCCCCGTTATCTCTGTGTGTGTGAAGATGAGAAATTTTCACTTCTCCAGTGAGTTACTGTACTGCTTTGACTCTCACAAGCGTGTCGACTTGATGGATTTTTGTAAATATAGCCGTCAGCGGATGCCTCTTGTCCCCATCTCGGGAACCATAACCCAGATTCCCAAAGGGGAGCTTGCCCACATGGATGGAAACTGAGGCCCTCAGAGAGGCCATCGGCCTTGATCCCTTGCTCCTATTCAAAGATCTCAACATTATTGCAGCCTTCCTTGGGGCAGCCGGACATTCCCGTGTGGAGGAAGCGTCCACTCACGTGCCATGGGAACTTTGTAGATTTCACTGTGATGCAAACAGCTCCCCGTGAGGCCCTCAGTGCCCAGGGCCCGTTGTTGGGTGCTTTTGAGGGTGGGAGGTGGAGGGGTTTCCATTTTGCTTGGGGGATCAGCATCACCCATTCTTTCTCCTTTTCCTCTGGGCTGGTGCTCAGATGGTGAGAGCACTGTGCTGATGAGGTGGGCCCTGGGGTGGAACCCATGGCCCCCTCCGACTCCCAGGAGACCTGGCCAGCTGCAGCGGCCCCCGTGGACCAGCAGAGGGACAAGAGAGGAGCTGACGTGGAGGAGCCGAGGCCCACTGGGGGCTCCTGGAGAGTCCGTCCGCCTGTGGACAGCAGCTCAGGTGTTCAGCTGCTTCCAGAGAGGAAGCACCTCTTCCTAGACTGAGGCATCGTTTTGATTAAAAAAAAAAAAAAGTTGATTTTTTTCACCTTGGTGTAAATTTTTGTTAGTAACAATATGTTAGTTGTCAGTTACCACTATTTGTTTTTCTTTCTTTCTTTTTTTTTTTTTTTTTTTACATTTTTGAAATTATTTACAGAGATGGGCTCTCGCTACGTTGTCCAGGCTGGTCTCAGACTCCTGGCCTCAGTGGTCCTCCCACCTTGGCCTCCCAAAGTGCTGGGACTACAGGTGTGAGCCGTGGCACCTGGCCTGTTTTTCTTTATTACTACAGATATTATCTGAAGCTTTAAAGCCTCCTGGAGTGAAAGCTAGTTCATAACCACGCTGTTTGGAGCGAAGAAAACTACCTGGAATTCTTGTTCTCCAAAGATATGGAATTATCCCAGCAACAGCCGTCCTTCACTGCTCTGTCCTGAGGACCCTCAGGTGTGGCCCATCCAGCCCCTCAGTGTTTACCTCTGTCCTAAGGACTCTCAGGTGTGGGCGATCCAGCCCCTTAGTGTTTCCCTCTGTTTTGGAGATCCTCAGGTATGGTCAATCCTATTAGTGTTTTCCTTTGTACTGGGGATGCTCAGGTGTGATCTATCCATCTTCTCAGTGTTTTACCTCGTTCCTGGAGACCCTCAGGTTCCATCCATCCATCCAATTGGTTTTTACCTCTGTCCTGGAGACCCTGAGGTGTGGTCTATCCATCCCATTAGTGTTTACCTCTGTCCTGGGGACCCTCAGTTGTGGTCAATCCATCCCATTAGTGTTTTTCCATTGTCCTCGAGACTCTCAGGTGTGGTCTATCCGTCCCATTAGTGTTTACATCTATCCTGGGAACCCTTAGGTGTGGTCCATCCATTTCTTTAGTGTTTACCTCTGCCTTGGGCCCCTCAGATGTGGTCGATCCCCAAAGTGTTTTATCTCTATTCTGGGGAATCTCAGTTGTGGTTCATCCATCCGCTTAGTGTTTACCTCTGTCCTGGGGACCCTGAGGTGTGGCCCATCCCCTTATTGTTTACCTTTGTCCTGGGGGCCCTCAGATATGGCCCATCCATCCCCTGAGTGTTTTACCTCGGTCCTCGAGACCCTCAGGTGTGGTCTATTAATTTAGTGTTTACTGCACCCTGGGGACTCACAGGTTTGGTCTATCCCAATAGGTTTTTTATGTCGGCCCTGGGAACTCTCAGATGTGGCCCATCCATCCCGTCAGTGTTTCCCTCTGTCCTGGGGTCACTCAAGTGTGGTCCATCCACCCCCTCAGTGTTTCCCTCAGTCCTGAGGATGCTCAGGTGTGGCCTATCCAGCCCCTCAGTGTTTTCCTCGGTCCTGGGGATGCTCAGGTGTGGTCCATCCATCCCCTCAGTGTTTCCCTCGGTCCTGAGGATGCTCAGGTGTGGCCCATCCAGCCCCTCAGTGTTTTCCTCGGTCCTGGGGATGCTCAGGTGTGGTCCATCCAGCCCCTCAGTGTTTCCCTCGGTCCTGAGGATGCTCAGGTGTGGCCCATCCCTCCCCTCAGTGTTTTCCTCGGTCCTGGGGATGCTCAGATGTGGCCCATCCATCCCCTCAGTGTTTCCCTCGGTCCTGAGGATGCTCAGGTGTGGCCCATCCATCCCCTCAGTGTTTTCCTCTGTCCTGGGGATGCCCATCCCCTTAGTGTTTTACCTCCAACTTTCTCTATTTTTTGTTTCCAGTCTTCCCACACAGGTTGAGAGAGGAGGGGATCCAATTGCCTGTGAGGAGGACACGGCTCCTGGGTGGACCCTGCAGATTGTGAAGTTCAAGTCACAGCTCCTGGGAAGGTCTCTGTGTGTAAAGATCGTGGGGGTGAGACAGATTCAGGGACCACACTCTGCTCTGCTCTGTACCTCTGAGTGTCGATCCAGCTGCCTTGTGACCAGGACACTTAGAAGAAGCATGGACCCTGCAAGAGGGCAGGTTTGGAGAGTGAGATGAGCACGCTTGAGGGATTAACGTGTAACTTGAACCACTGCCTCGCAAACTACGTGAGGGCGTGCAGGTGTGTGTCTGTGCGTGTGTGTGCTGGGGGGATGTTTAGCAGCCTCACGGAGGGGTAACTCACATACAAGAGAACAAGGCCAGGCGTGGTGGCTCACGCCTGTAATCCCAGCACTTTGGGAGGCTGAGGTGGGTGGATCACGTGAGGTTAGGAGATCGAGACCAGCCTGACCAACATGGTGAAACCCTGTCTCTACTAAAAATATAAAAAATTAGCCAGGTGTGGTGGTGCATGCCTGTAATCCCAGCTACTCTGGAGGCTGAAGCAGGAGAATCACTTGAACCCGGGAGGCGGAGATTGCAGTGAGCCGAGATCACGCCACTGCACTCCAGCCTGGGCAACAAGAGTGAAACTCCATCTCAAAAAAAAAAAATTTTTTTTTGATCGATGTTGACACACATACGCACCCGCAAAACCATGACCAGGAGCATCACGACTCCCAAAGCTTCCTCGTGATTCTTTGGAATCCCTCCCTACAGCCCCTCCCACCCCCCCCCATCCCAAGCAGCCACTGATTTGCTTTCTGTCACAGTCAGTAGATTTGCAATTTCCTTAATACCATGTCTGAGCCCAGTAGGCAAATACTTTCTTTTTATTGGGTGGACATTTTGTGGCATGTTCAAGCTTTTGAATTCAGAGAGTGAGAGAATGAGAAAGAAAAGGCTGGTCTGGGTCACTCCTGGGAGGCCTGGCCCTAAGCACCGTGTGGCTCACGTGCCCTGGAGCCCCTGTGCACCGGACATCCCTGACTGCCCTGCTGCAAGCTTTATAGCTCCCCCATCACCTTTCCCGGACCAGCTGGTACAATCTCAAACTTTTCACCAATTCTGACATCTAAACAACTAACGCCAGAGACAGGCTCTGTGGGACCAGCAGCTGCGACCTCACCTCCGGTCACTGGAACACTGAGCTGTTAAATGAAAGGTGCGTCCTTTTTTTTTTTTTTTTTTTTTGAGACAGCGTCTCGCTCTGTCACCCAGGCTGGAGTACAGTGGCACGATCTCCGCTCACCGCAACCTCTGCCTCCCAGGTTCAAGCGATTCTCATGCCTCAGCCTCCTGAGTAGCTGGGATTACAGGTGCCTCTCATCACGCCCAGCTAATGTTTGTATTTGTTGTAGAGACAGGGTATCACCAGACTCCTGGGACCTCCGCCTCCCGGGATGGTCTCCATCTCCTGACCTCGTGATCCGCCTGCCTCTGTCTCCCAAAGTGCTGGGATTACAGGCCTGAGCCACCGCGCCCGGCCAGGTGCGTCCTTCTTTCTCCCTTTCCAGGGAGAATGCTCTGCTCTTCTTCCTGCTGGATCCCTCCTCTACCTGCTTCTCTCCCACCTCCTGCAGCCCCCGGAGCCCCATGGCGATGCAGGCAGACTCATCTGTACCCTCATTCTGTTTGCAGAGCCACATCTCTGGGCTGGCTCTGCCCAAGGACACCACACCTTCTCCATTCCTCTTGCCCTTTCCCCGTGGGGTGCAGGTGGGGCTGGGCCCACGATGGCATCAGGCCCACTCTCTCTAATGCAGGAAGGGATCAGATGCCGGGAGCCATGGAGATTGTCCTCATCCCGATCATCTCCCATCTTAGCAAATGATGATGAAGACAGTTTTCCCACAAGATAGGCATAGCCTCTGGGACAGTGCCTCGTTTATTTTCTAGCACAAAATAGACGTTAGAACAGTGGGGCTTTGTGGGCATATGGAGATTTTTAAGGCTCCTTAGGAGGCAGGTAAAAATTTCTTCAATAAGACAAAACACTATCCCCAAAGAAAATGATTGATACATTGGATGATAGTAAAATTAAGAATTTTTTCATCAATAAGAGTAAAAAGATGGGGCCGGGTGTGGTGGCTCACGCTGTATCCCAGCACTTTGGGAGGCCAAGGCGGGAGGATCACTTGAGGTCAGGAGTTAGAGAACAGCCTGAGCAGCTTAGCAAGACCTCGTCTCTACAAAAAATGAAAAATTGGCTGGGCATGGTGGTGCATGCCTGTGGTCCCAGATACTTGGGAGGCTGAGGCAGGAGGAACACTTGAGCCTGGGAGGCTGAGGCTGCAGTGAGCCATGATTGTGCCACTGCACTGCAGCCTGGGTGACAGGGTGAGACTCTGTCTCTTAAAAAAAAGAGGTGGGGAATGGAGGAGGGTGAAAAGATAAATTACATGTAGAGTATAAAGAGAATTCCTGTAAGTTAATAAAAATGCATGCGGGGGCTTAATACCTAGGTGATGGGTTGATAAGTGCAGCAAACCACCATGGCACATGTTTACCTATGTAACAAACCTGCACGTTCTGTACATGTATCCCAGAACTTAAAGTAAATTTTTTTTTTTTTTTTGAGATGGAGTCTCGCTCTGTCGCCCAGGTGGATTGCAGTGGCGTGATCTCAGCTCATTGGAAGCTCTGCCTCCTGGGTTCACGCCATTCTCCTGCCTCAGCCTCCCGAGTAGCTGGGACTACAGGCACATGCCACCATGCCCAGCTAATTTTTGTATTTTTAGTAGAGACGGGGTTTCACCGTGTTAGCCAGGATGGTCTCGATCTCCTGACCTCGTGATCCACCTGCCTCGGCCTCCCAAAGTGCTGGGATTACAGGCATGAGCCACCGCGCCTGGCCTAAAGTAAAATAAATTTTTTAAAAAATTAAGAAAAAAGCTGGCAGACCAATAGGACAATGGGTGAAAGAAATGAAGAGGGACACAAAAGGGAAAGAAGAAAGGGAGGGAGGAGGGGGGAGGGAGGGAGGAGGGAGGGAAGGAGGGAGAGGAAAGAGCAAATGAACATCCAAATGGCCAAAAAGCATTTAAAACATGCTCAGCCTCATAAGCCATCAAATTTAAACCACAGTGAGAAATCAATATTACACCTACCAGAATGGCTAAAATTAAAAACACTGTTGATACCAAGTTTGGGCAAGAATGTGGAGTAACTGAAACTTCATATACTATTGGGAATGTAAAATAGCACAACTACTTTGGAAAACCCCTGGGTAATACCTACTAAAGGAGACCACACCTGTGATCCCCACATTCCACTCCTGTGCATAGACCCAAAAGAACTGTGCACTGTGCACGTGTTCACCAAATGACGTGCGACGTGCACTAGAATGTTTATACCAGCACCCTTCACAATAGCCCCAACTTCCAACAGGAGAATGGATAAGTACCTCTCAATATATTTATAGAGTAAAGTTCTTACAGCACTGAAAATGGATTAACAGCCGCCATGCACAGTTGGTGAATCTCAGCAACATAATGTTGAGCAGAAGCAGCCAGACACAAATGAATGCGTACGGCACGATTGTGTTTCTGCGAAGCCCTAAAACAGGCCAAAGAAACATCTGGTGAGAAGTCAGGATAGCGATGATCTTAGTGCTCTGGGGGAGGGTGGCTCTGGTATTATTCTATTTCTTGATCTGAGGGCTGGTGTCCCAGACGTATTCACTCTATGATAATTTACCAAGCTGCCCTCTGGGGACTGGTGGCTTCTCTGTATGAATATTACACTTCAATTAAAATAACAAAAACCTAACAGTCAAATTCAGAAATGAGTAAGGCCGGGCACGGTGGCTCATGCCTGTAATCCCAGCACTTTGGGAGGCCGAGGCAGGCAGATCACCTGAGGTCAGGAGTTTGAGACCAGCCTGGCCAACACGGTGAAACCCGTCTCTAGTAAAACTACAAAAATTAGCCGGGTGTGGTGGCACGTGCCCGTAATCTCAGCTATTTGGGAGGCTGAGGCAGGAGACTTGCTTAAACTTGGGAGGTGGAAGTTGCAGTGAGCCGAGATCACGCCACTGCACTCCAGCCTGGGTGACAGAGTGAGATTCTGTCTTAAAAAAAAAAAAGCAAACGAGCAAAGGACTTGAATGGACATTTTTCCATACTCAGCATCACTAATCATTAGGCAGATGGAAATGACAACGAGATTCCATTTCACTCCTACTACATTGACTAGTATCAAAGAAAACCCAGAAAATAACGAATGTTGGTGAAGATGTGGAGAGACTGGAACCCTTGTGCGCTGCTGGTGGGAATGTAAAATAGTGCCGCCCCTCTAGTAAACAGTAAGGCAGTTCCTCGGAAATTATACCTAGGGACGCTCCAGCAATTCCACTTCTGGGTTTATATCCCCCAAAAATTGAAAGCAAGGAAATAAAGAGACACCCATCCCTGTTGATAGCCGTGTTATTCAAAATAGATAAAAGGTGGGAGCAACTCATATCCATTGACAGACGAAGGGATCAATAACATGCGGTATGTACATACAATGGAATATTATTCAACCTTACAAAAAAAGGGTATTTGGACCTAGGCCTCAACATAAATGAATCTTGAGGACTATGCTGAATGACATAAGGCAGACACAAAAGGACAAATATTGTGTATTTCCACTCACATGAAGTACCTAGTATATTTCATAGAGACACAAAGTAGAATGTGTCTATGAAGTATACAGGGGCATGCTTGAAGTATACTAGGTCTAGTAGGAAGCCAGGGGCTGGAGGGAGGAGGGAAAGGGGAGTGGCTGTTTAACAGGCAGAGTTTCAGTGAGGATGAGGAACGACCTCCGGAGATGATGGAGGTGATGGTAGCATGCCAATTGAAGGCTCTTAACATTACTGAACACTTGAAATGATGCAGATGGGAAATTTCGTGTTACACATATTTTATCACAGTTTTTCAGGTAGTTGCCTTTTAAAAAAGTTCCTTCAGAATTTGTTTTCCTCCTTGACATGCATATTTGAACACTGGAGACAAAATTTCTGTATCGTTCTTGGTCAGCAAAATGTTTTGTAAAAGTGTCAGGAGGAGGCCAGGTGCGGTGGCTCACGCCTGTAATCCCAGCACTTTGAGAGGCCGAGGTGGGCAGATCACCTGAGGTCAGGAGTTCAAGACCAGCCTGGCCAACAAGGTGAAACCCTGTCTCTACTAAAAATACAAAAATTAGCCGGGTGTGTTGGTGCACAACTGTAGTTACAGCTATTTGGGAGGCTGAGGCAGGAGAATCGCTTGAACCTGGGAGGCGGAGGTTGCAGTGAGCTGAGATCGCACCACTGCACTCCAGCCTGGGTGACAGAGCAAGACCCTGTCTCAAAAATAAAATAGTAAAATTTAAAATTCAGGACCTCCTCACCAGAGCTATACTTTGAGTGCACAGTAGCCATATGTCTATACTGCAGAAAACATTTCCATCCTCCCAGAACCTTCTCTCATGCAGCTTCTGTGAGCCTCGCATCAGTTGTGTTCACTGAACTCATCTAACTCAAAGCACATGCATCAAAGCTGGAATTTCAGGGTTATCGGTTTGCAGGTGAGAGCCGTAATGGTCCAGTGGAAGTGTACAGCTGGAAGGGAATGTCGTCAGCTCCTCCCTCTCACCTGAAGGCTCTCGACTATGAGCCGTGCCTTGTTGACAGCCTCTGAGTCCACAGAGCACAGGGAGAATCTGAGGACACAGGACAAGGCAGGAGACCTTGTGTCCTCCACGTGGTTGCACATAGAGTAGAAGAGCTGGGTGAGTAACTCTCTGGAATCACCTTTCTGCTGATGTTTGTGTCTCTACAGATGGGCTCAAGGACAGCTTGCCTGACTGCAGCCATAAGGATGAAGCCTCTTCAGGTAGAGAAGGACTCCAGGTGGGGCCTGTGCAGAGGGTTCTTACGGGCGCAGTAGGATTGGGGCTATAAAATCAGTAAATGGAAAAGGAGCCAGGTGCAGAAGTCTGATTTATTCCTTTTTTTTTTCTTTTTCTTTTTGGAGACAGGGTCTTACTCTGTCACCCAGGCTAGAGTGCAGTCAGTGTGCCACTGTGGCTCAACCTCCGTCTCCTGGGCTCAATCAATCGTTCCACCTCAGCCTCCAGAAAGTAGCTGAGAATACAGGTGCATGCCACCATGCTTGGCTAAGTTTTGTACTTTTTGTAGAGACAGGGTTTCGCCATGTTGCCCAGGCTAGTCTTGAAATCCTGGACTCGAGATCTGTTCACCTCGGCCTCCCAAAGTGCTGGGATTATAGGCAAGAGCCACCGAGCCCGGCCTCCTTTTGTATTTTAATTAAGACAGAGTCCTAAGAGGTTGTGTTTGCATGGATGTTGTGTGTGCTCTGCTTGTCATATTCATTTCTTGCTCTGGTGTTTAAAGATGACCTTTTGCAGAAAACCAGATCTTTCCTGCCTGTGCCACAGAAAGCACTAAATCCTTGGGTTTTGATGGGATGGCATCCTTTGTGAATGGAGAACACGGGATTAGTATGTGGGTGTGGCATTTGGTGCTATGCGGGGAGTGATGTGGGACACAGCCCCTCACAGCCCCTAAGTCTCCCTGGAGACAAAGTCTCCCACGTGTGTGCCAGGAGGTGGGAGGAGTCCACCCTCTCCCTCTGCACCCTTGGGACCTGCAGCAGCACCTTCCTGTCCCGTCCTCACCATCGGCTCCGGGTTGAAAGGCACCCACAGGGTTGGATGATGCAGAGAATCCTTCCTCTGGGATGAATATGTATGCCCCGGCTGTGGAGGCACGAGGGGAAGCCCACGCTTCACCCGCCGTGGGGTCGCGAGGGGAAGCCCACGCTTCAGCATGTTTCTGGCCACTCCTCACCCAATCCCAAATCCTTGGGTTAGGAATGAAGCCTTAATTGGGTTTCATTTGAGAAGTCAGTGTCCAGCTGTCACCGAGGCCCTCCGTGGCTGGCAGGAATCCTAGGGGACATGCGTGGAGGGGCTGCTGTGTTGCTGCAGGCACTGGCTCTCACCCTCCCCGTGACCTGGCTCCAGGAATCCACCACGCCCAGGACGGGGCCACTGGGCAGCCGGCACAGGGCTCAATTTTTTGTCACGCCCTTTGCTCTGGCCTGGCAGCCTTGTCCTGTTCCCCACGCTGCCATCAGGCCCAGCGTGTTCCCTGGGTCAGGCCGGCCAGGTGCCCTTCCGCCCAGTCCTCCCACAGCTCAGGCAAACCCTGGCAGGGCCCCTTCGTTCATATGCTAACAACCACGGCTTCACCTGCGGATTAAGGCAATGGGAAAACGGGCTTTCCCTGGAATCCCGTTCTGTCCTTGCCAATCATTGAGATGCTAGTGGGATTCTTGTTAGGCTTGAATAGTTTACATTTCCAGGGTCATCCCAGGCTTTGGTCATCATCATCTCTCACAGATCCCAACACAACCCAGGCCTGTGGCCATGTCCCTGACCTAGGGTGGGATCCATGGATTTACTGGAAGGACTGGCAGTGCCCTTCTTTCCAATGTTGTTCTATTGGAGACCAGTAGCACTGGTGGAGGTTGACATGGAGAAAGGAAACGGGCATCAATCAGGAGAACAAAATCAGGCCCTAACGGTTAGAGCAGAGAGGGAAGTCTGTGCCAGGCACAGAGCATCATGGAGACAGTGGCCGCCTCCTGGGGAAAGGGGATGACACGGGCCTCCCCTCCCTGGGGAATTTGAGGGTTATGGAATTTGAAGGCTGGGAAAGCATGTGGGAAATCAGAGGCCCCTCCCTCGCTGTAGGGAGGAAGTGATCCAGGCTGTGGAGAGGACTCTAGAGATGAGCACACTAGAGCCTCTGGGGTTGGCGTCACAGCCCCAGGACAGCGGGGCCCAAATGGCCCCTCGACTCTAACTCTCCCCTTTCCTTCCCATGGCTGCCCCATCACCGCTGCTGCTCTGGACACCCTGAAGGTCATTTGGCCAATTTAATGCCGACAGAAGAGGCCACCATCTGAATGTAATTTATCTCCTCTTTCATCTCCTTTCATTCCCCTCCTCCTTTTTTTTTTTTTTTTGGGACAGAGTCTCACTCTGTTGCCCAGGCTGGAGTGCAGTGGCGTGATCTTGGCTCACTGCAAGCTCTGCCTCCCAGGTTCACGCCATTCTCCTGCCTCAGCCTCCTGAGTAGCTGGGACTACAGGCACCCGCCACCACGCCCAGCTAATTTTTTGTGTTTTTAGTAGAGACGAGGTTTAGCGTGTCTATGTGACACCCCAGGATTTTAGCAGATACACAAGTGAAAAACCATGTTGCTAAAAAGTATTTCCCATCTTCCAATTTTCTTATCATCATCTTGGAAATAAAATCTGTACGTACTTGGGAATAAAATTTATTGAATTATCAAAAATATGTATGCTAATGTATGTGAGTCATTAGCTATATCCACATTGACATAAAATTTGTGAAGACTCTTCAAAATCTCTTAAAGATTTATTTGGCTGGGCGCGGTGGCTCACGCCTGTAATCCCAGCAGTTTGGGAGGCTGAGGCAGGCGGATCATGAGGTCAGGAGATGGAGACCATCCTGGCTAACACGGTGAAACCCCGTCTCTACTAAAAATACAAAAAACTAGCTGGGCGTGGTGGCGCGCGCCTGTAGTCCCAGCTACTCGGGAGGCTGAGGCAGGAGAATGGCGTGAACCCGGGAGGCGGAGCTCGGAGTGAGCCGAGATCACGCCACTGCACTCCAGCCTGGGTGACAGAGCGAGGACTCTGTCTCAAAAAAAGGAAAAATAAAAACACGAGAACGTACTGCAGGAGAAAACAGGCCTGGCCTGAGACGGCTGTGCCGGCTTTCTGAGGCCGTGAATGGCAAGACCTCGAGACTGTCAAGAGGAGCAAGAGGAGTCGGGATTTAGCGTCAGTGATGAGGTGCGCCACTCACTGTGTGACTTCAGAGTGTTTCTGGGGAAAGAAAATGAAGTCCTGTGAAGTATGCGGAGCACCCTCAGCAGCAGCCGTGGATCTGAACAGCCTCCCAGACACAGACGCCATGGGTGTGAAGTGTGTCAGGAACAAGCGAAGTCACCCACAATGGAGAGGAACACCCTAGTGTGCTAGAACTTTTGAACCACTTTTCCTCCTGTCTTGGGTCAGGCCTCATAGCTAACCCTTTGGTGCGCGGTACTCTCTCTGGCTATTGGAGAGATGTGAGAAGCTTAAGAAAAGCAAATGAGAAGACGTGGAGCAGGCAGATGGCCGGTCCCCATGGAAGAGTCCCCATTGTGAGGCCTCCCTGGGGATCTGGCGGTGGCCACAACACACTGGCCGGTGAGATTGGTTGTGATTGTCATTGTTGTGGAAAATGATTATCATCTGTCCTCAATGGTGCCAATGCTGACTCACCTGGAGGTGGAATGATGGCCATGGTGACACTGAGGAGGGAGCGTGGCAGAGGGAATGATGGCCGTGGTGACACTGAGGAGGGAGCGTGGCAGAGGGAATGATGGCCGTGGTGACACTGAGGAGGGAGCGTGGCAGAGGGAACGATGGCCATGGCTGACATTGAGGAAGGAGCTGGCAGAGGGAATGATGGCCGTGGTGACACTGAAGAGGGAGCGTGGCAGAGGGAATGATGGCCATGGTGAAACTGAGGAGGGAGCGTGGCAGAGGGAATGATGGCCGTGGTGATATTGAGGAGGGAGCGTGGCAGAGGGAACGATGGCCATGGTGACACTGAGGAGGGAGCGTGGCAGAGGGAACGATGGCCATGGTGACACTGAGGAGGGAGCGTGGCAGAGGGAACGATGGCCATGGTGACACTGAGGAGGGAGCGTGGCAGAGGGAACGATGGCCATGGTGACACTGAGGAGGGAGCGTGGCAGAGGGAACGATGGCCATGGCTGACATTGAGGAGGGAGCTGGCAGAGGGAACGATGGCCATGGCTGACATTGAGGAGGGAGCGTGGCAGAAGGAACGATGGCCATGGTGACACTGAGGAGGGAGCGTGGCAGAGGGAACGATGGCCGTGGTGACACTGAGGAGGGAGCGTGGCAGAGGGAACGATGGCCGTGGTGACACTGAGGAGGGAGCGTGGCAGAGGGAACGATGGCCGTGGTGACACTGAGGAGGGAGCGTGGCAGAGGGAACGATGGCCGTGGTGACACTGAGGAGGGAGCGTGGCAGAGGGAACGATGGCCGTGGTGACACTGAGGAGGGAGCGTGGCAGAGGGAACGATGGCCGTGGTGACACTGAGGAGGGAGCGTGGCAGAGGGAACGATGGCCGTGGTGACACTGAGGAGGGAGCGTGGCAGAGGGAACGATGGCCGTGGTGACACTGAGGAGGGAGCGTGGCAGAGGGAACGATGGCCGTGGTGACACTGAGGAGGGAGCGTGGCAGAGGGAACGATGGCCGTGGTGACACTGAGGAGGGAGCGTGGCAGAGGGAACGATGGCCGTGGCTGACACTGAGGAGGGAGCGTGGCAGAGGGAACGATGGCCGTGGCTGACACTGAGGAGGGAGCGTGGCAGAGGGAACGATGGCCATGGCTGACATTGAGGAGGGAGCTGGCAGAGGGAACGATGGCCATGGCTGACATTCAGGAGGGAGCGTGGCAGAGGGAACGATGGCCGTGGCTGACATTGAGGAGGGAGCTGGCAGAGGGAACGATGGCCATGGCTGACATTCAGGAGGGAGCGTGGCAGAGGGAACGATGGCCATGGTGACACTGAGGAGGGAGCGTGGCAGAGGGAATGATGGCCATGGTGACACTGAGGAGGGAGCGTGGCAGAGGGAATGATGGCCATGGCTGACATTGAGGAGGGAGCTGGCAGAGGGAATGATGGCCATGGTGATATTGAGGAGGGAGCGTGGCAGAGGGAATGATGGCCATGGCTGACATTGAGGAGGGAGTGTGGCAGAGGGAATGATGGCCATGGTGACACTGAGGAGGGAGCGTGGTAGAGGGAATGATGGCCATGGTGACATTGAGTCAGCACTTATTAGGTTCCACGTGTACATGGTCAAGTTTTCCTGTGGTTTTTCTCAGAAAGGAGCCATGATCCTGCAACAGTGAAACAGGAAAAGTGCTAACAAAACTGACTCCATTTTTATTTAATGGGCTTTTTCTCATCCCTGCATATAAGCTAGCATAATTTTAGAGCGCTAAGATAAAACGCAAAAGCGGTAATCATGTAGTTTTTGCAACTAACTGTGGGATTAATGGAAAGTATGTAAACAGCTAACTGTGGTTTGTTAAAGATTTATAGGAGCATTGTGATCTGACCAAGGAGAAAGAAGGTCCCAGCCTCCTGGGACCATTGCTGGCACCTGGATGTGTGAGGTAGTCAGGTACCTGTTGATCCCAACCCTCTCCTCTTCCACCCTCCGTTGAACCAGATAAGCGCTTGTCAGTGCTGTTTTGGGAGTATTCTGCCCTGTGGTTAAATAGGTGTGAGTGCTGGAGAGTCCTGCAGCAATCTGGGGCTTTCTGGTGCTGTGAAGACAGTTACTCTAAAAGTCCTGATGCCATCTCTGCACTTGGGTACAGTCGTGTGACTCTGGGTTTATGACAGATCCTTCAGCTACCCTACCTGCCACTCCATATCTGCTGAGATTTTCTTTCTTTCTTCTTTTGTTTTTGTTTTTGTTTTGGGACGGAATCTCGCTCTGTTGCCAGGCTGGAGTGCAGTAGCATGATCTCAGCTCACTATAACCTCTGTCTCCAGGGTTCAAGTGATTCTCCTGCCTCAGCCTCCCGAGTAGCTGGGATTACAGGCGCCCACCACCACATCTAGCTAATTTTTGTATTTTTAGTAGACACAGGGTTTCACCACGTTGGCCAGGATGGGTCTCGATCTCTTCACCTCATGATCCGCCCGCCTCGGCCTCCCAAAGTACTGGGATTACAGGTGTGAGCCACCGCGCCCAGCTGAGATTTTCATAATGTGTTTGAGACATGCTGTTTATTTCTTCTTTTTTTTTTACTTTTAATTGAAATATTGTATACATAGCAAAAAGTCATTCCTGTCATAAATGTACAGCTCAATGAATTTTCATGAAATTTAATCATTAACCAGATTGAAATGAAAACCACAACAAAACCCATGACTGGAAGCCATCCCCGATAAGTCTTCTGCGGCCAGCTTCCTGTGGTGAGCCTCCCCATCAAGGGTAACTGCAGCCTCCTTGGAAATAAAGGAGATCAGGACTCCTTTTGTGTGAGCTTCATTTACTCTGTTTTGCGAGATTGGCCCACGTTGTCGCATGTGTTTAAGGATCTGTCCTTCCCGCGGGGACATAGCGTGCCAGGGCTGAAATGTCCTAGAATCTGTTCACAGGTTCTACTGTCAGTGAGGGTTTGGGTGGTTATGGCTTTGGGAGGTGATGAAAGTGCTGCTTTCCTGTGAGTGTCTTTGGGGAGCACACACGCTCTTTTCTGCCGGATATTCTCCACCCAAGGGGTCGCCGGTCATCGCAGATGTGCTTGTCCACTTTCAGCAGCTACTGACAGAGTTTCCCAGGTGGAGCGTGCAACGGATATCACGCCAGCTGAGGAAGACAGTTTGGTTGCTCCCCAGCCTCTCCAACAATTGGTATTTTCTGATGTCTTCATTCTGGCCATGCTGAGGGATGCATTAAAAGCACATAGAAAGTCCAGATGCCTCTGGGCAGCTCACAGATTCTGAATGTTGGGAGACAAGGACAACTGTCAATCTCTGTCAGTGCTAGGACTGATTCTCAGTATCTGACCCAAAACTAGGAACTGAGGCGATGGTTTGTGGTATTCGATAACGTTGTCAGCATATGCCCTAGAAGTGCTCAAATCCTGGCACATACACAACCTAGGGACGGGACAAACGTGAACTCGGCATGGTCGGTTATAGCTTGCGTCTAGCACCTTGTTTTTGCAACTCTCATGTCCAGCTGGGGTGGGGCCATGCACGGGCAGCATCCCGATGTCCCACCACCGCCCCGTCCACCCAGCTCCTCCAGAGGATGAATTACAGTGGCTTCCTAGTGGCAGGACAGATGAGGGGTCCCATCTAATGCCAGGTTAAGATTGTCTTTCTTTTTCTGAGGTAGAAGTGGTGCTTTGCTGTTTTATCAATTGAGTTCAGTTATGGAAACGTGGCCACATACATTACAGAGGTTAGCGGCTGTTTCCTCAAGGGCTTGGGAAAGAAGTCTCTTACCAAACGAGGCCTGATTCAGGAGGGCACATAAGCTGGGTTGTGTCAGGTTCTTCACTGTGCATAGAGAGCCTTTTCCTCAGTAGCAATTATTTCCTCCGTGGGTTAATAATTTTGCAACTGCTGATTGAAATAAACATGACAGGCCGGGCGTGGTGGCCTATAATCCCAGCACTTGGGAGGCCTAGGCGAGTGGATCACCTGAGGTCAGGAGTTCATGACCAGCCTCGTCAATATGGCGAAATCCCATCTCTACTAAAAATGCCAAAATTAGCCAGGCGTCGTGGCACATGCCTGTAATCCCAGCTACTTGGGAGGCTGAGGCAAGAGAACTTCTTGAACCCGGGAGGTGGAGGTTGTAGTGAGCCGAGATTGCACCACTGCACTCCAGTCTGGTTGACGGAGACTCCACCTCAAAAAACAAACAAACAAACAAAAAAAACAAAAAACAATAGACATGACAGACACATTCTCCAGCAAAAGTCTGCCCTATGACAGGAGTAGGTTTTCTCTACCCTTGCTTTTAGATTCCTTTGACTTGGCCGGGCACAGTGGCTCACGCCTGTAATCCCAGCACTTTGAGAGGCCAAGGTGGGCAGATCATGAGGCCAGGAGATAGAGACCATCCTGACCAACATGGTGAAACCCCGTCTCTGCTAAAATACAAAAAATTAGCTAGGCGTGGTGGCACGTGCCTGTAGTCCCAGCTATGCAGGAGGCTGAGGCAGAGAATTCGCTTGAACCTGGGAGGCGTAGGTTGCAGTGAGCCAAGATCACGCCACTGCACTCCAGCCTGGGGGACAGAGCAAGACTCTGTCTCAAAAAAAAAAAAAAAGAAAAAAGAAAAAAATAGATTCCTTTGACTTGACCCCTATTTATCCTCTTGTTTTATAAAGTCAACAGGAAGAAACAAACAAACAAACAACAAAAAAAAAAACCCACCTGTGCTTAGAGAACACATCGGAACCTATGGTACTGTAGTGCCTTCTTTTCTGTCACTGTAGGTGGCCTCAGAGGGGAAAATTCATGCATATTCTGCATGTGCCACTTGTGAAGGAGAAATCTAGATGATAGGGAAGGTGAGTCTTCCTTGCTGGCTTTCGTCTGGGGAGCCACCCTGACTCCAGCTTTCTGGTTAGAATGAGGATTGGTGGTGATGAAGGAACATTATTTTCCAGGTAAAGCACTGTGACCGTGTTTCCACAAGCAGTTGCGTTTCCTTTAGCTGGTATGAGTTTGTGCGCGTGGGCGGTGGGGTGTGTCTGTGTGGGGTGGGATTTGTGTGGGGCGGCCGTGTGTCTGTGCCCACGTCTGTTTCCGCTGGTGTTATACTCCGCCTAGACAGCAGAGTTGCAGGTGTAAGCTTTCTCAACAAGGAATGCCGTCCCCATTACTCCACAGCGTATATGTGGAGCCTAACCGGGTGGACTGCAAGGCAGTTCCGACCCTCACCACTCAGGGTTAGCACCAGATTCCACAACTCCAGAGCTGAGTCCCACAAAACTGCCCTTACTTCAGACACCAGCTGAACTTTGGGAGTCCCCAAGCCACCTGCACTTCTGACAAACTGGCTATAAATTCAAGGATTACCATGACTTCCTCAGGTTCAAAACTTCACTAGAAATGACTCAGAGAATTCAGAAAAGGGCTATATTTACAATTTGATTAGAAATGATCTGCATAGAGCAAGGCGTATGGGGCTGGGGGGTCCTGGATGCATGGCTTCCATGCCTTCTGTCTGGGGAATCGGGTGGCGTGCTGGGGGTGGGTTCCAGGTCACAGTTGGATTCAAAGGTTTCTTGATTGGCAGTTGGTTGAAAGGGTTAAACTCTGTCTTAAAAGTTGAAATCAGCTTCAATTAGGTAACATGGTGTGGTCGGGGGTGGGAGTTTGGGAAGTTGTGGGAGCCAAGGTTCTTGTCACGTAAATGACACTTCCAGGCAGAGGGCTTCAGAGAGGATAGACGTAAACGTCTCTTATTGGACTTAAAAGGTAACAGACTTTCTGGAAAGACCTAGTGATGGAGCCATATGCTCTACAGATTGCAAATTTCCCACAAAGAGACAGCTGTGTTGGGCCATTCCAAAAAATGTCAGAGAAATCTGTCTCGGGGTAAAATACTCAGACTTCCTTCAGGACCTGCTTTCAGGTGATGCTATACCAGAGCGCATTGGAAGTTGGGTATCTTATTGCTACAAGGCGTTTCTTCCGTCAGTCTTAGGATCTCTATTTTCATGTCACTGCTGCTCAGTTGGGTCTGAACCACAAAGGGTGGAGGGAATACTGAGGCGTGCCCGACCCCTCTTCTCCCTCATGGCCTGAATGAAGTTTTCAGGTTTATTTGGGTCCCCTTGGCTGAGAGGAGGATCCGTTCAGTTCATTGAGGGGCTTAGAAATTTAATTTTAATTTACATTGTAAAGTGTAAACATATACAATGTTGATCAGTTATACCTGAATAGAGCTGAGGGAAAAGAGAATAAAAGGAACCATGACTAACAACAATGAAAAGAAATGGAAGCTGAGTCACATTTAAAATATTTATTAATCTGTTTTCAAATAACAGAAACAAGACCATTACAGAGCAACATAAATAGCATCTTTTTGTGAAAAATATTTTCCAAAGCAAAAGTGATTTGTGGGAAAAGTGGCATTGCTTTCCCATTCTCCGAGAGTCTGTCACATCTGACAACAGGAGCTGGGACCCTGTGCCTGCCTCAGTCGGGGCACCGCACTCCCCACAGCACACAGCCTCTGGGCACTTGGCCAGGCATAGTAGCTCATACTTGTAAACCCAATTTTTTCCTTCCTCCCTCCCTTCCTTCTTTCATCTCTCTCTCTCTCTCTCTCCCCCCGCTTTTTTTTTTTTTTTTTTTAAGATGGAGTCTGGCTCTGTTACCCAGGCCGGAGCCTAATCTCGCCTCACTGCAACCTTTGCATCCCAGGTTCAAGCAATTCTCCTTCCTCAACCTCCCAAGTAGCTGGGATTACAGGCATGCAACGTGATGCCCAGGTAATTTTTGTATTTTTAGCAGAGACGGGGTTTTGCCACGTTGGCCAGGCTGGTCTCCAGCTCCAGATCTCAGGTGATCTGCCTGCCTCGGCCTCCCAAAGTGCTGGGATTACAGGCATAAGCCACCACACCTGGCCCCAGTTTTCAATCATAAGGTACTATTCCCAAAATATGAAATGCTAAATGTCTCATATCACCTTTGGCATTCAAATGTCCAACATCTCAGCGTTTTGTCTTATTAAAGACTGCAAAAATGTACAAGACTTTAAAACCATGAAATTAACTAAGTAAAACTAAGGAGACCCAAATAAAATTCAATGTACTTAAGGTTCAGTGCAGCTATAACAGAATATCTAAGACTGGGTAATTTTATTATTATTATTAATTTTATTTTTTTTTTGAGACAGAGTCTCGCTCTCTCACCCAGGCTGGAGTGCAGTGGTGCAATCTTGGCTCACTGCAAGCTACGCCTCCTGGGTTCACGCCATTCTCCTGCCTCAGCCTCCCGAGTAGCTGGGACTACAGGCGCCCGCCACCACGCCCAGCTAATTTTGTGTATTTTTAGCGGAGACAGGGTTTCACTGTGTTGGCCAGGATGGTCTCAATCTCCTGACCTTGTGATCCGCCCGCCTCGGCCTCCCAAAATCCTGCGATTAGAGGCGTGAGCCACCGCACCAGGCCAAGACTGGGTAGTTTATTTTTAAAAAAGAGGCTTTTTTGGCTCAATATTCTGGTGACTGGAAAGTCTGAGATTGGGCAGTGCACACGGTGAGGGGCTTGTGCTGCTCCAACTCCTGGCAGAACGTGGAAGGGGAAACCAGCACAGGCAAGGAGAGCACATGGCAAGAGAGGAAGCAAGAGGGTCCAGGAAGCCAAACTCACTTCCATAACACCCCACGCCTGGTAACTCATCCAGTCCCACGAGACAGCGTTCATCTATTCATGAAGGGTCTGCCCATCACCCAAATACCTCCCACTAGCCCCCACCTCCCACCACCACCACATCGGGAATCAAATTTCAACATGTGTTTTGGTGGGGACAAACCACATCCACACCGTAGCATACACCCCACCCTGTGGGGCCATGCTGCTGTGTCCTGCCCCTCCCAGTTGCTGTGGCACCCTAGCCGTTGGGGCCTGAGCTGATTTGTGCCCTGCTTTCCAGAGAATCAATGCCTTGGTCAGCCAGAGAAATCACAGTCCCTAATGCAAGAGCTGAACAAGTGCCTCACTTGATGGGAAGTCCCCAGGCTGAGCTGAGACGGATGGAAAAGAAAGCTCCTCTAAATAATAAAGGCCGCCTCTAAAAAACCCACAGCTAACATCATAATCAATGGGGAACAATTGAAAGTCTTTCCACTAAGATTGAGTTCAAGACAGGGATGCCTAGCCTTGTCACTTTTATTCAACATGGTACTGGAAGTACTAGCAAGAGCAATTAGACAAATTTAAAAAAAGGCAACTAAAAAAAGAAACAAATTATCTCTATTTGCAGATGACATGATCCATATGAAAAAACCTCAGATTTCCCATAAGAAAATGTTAAAACTAAATGAATTCAGTAAAGTTGCAGCATACAAACTCAACATACAAAAATCAGGAGCGTTTCTATACACAAATAACAATCTAGCTGAAAAACAAATCAAGAAAACAATCCCATTTACAGTAGCACCAATCAAAATAAAATACTTAGGAATAAATTTAGACAAGAAGGTGAAAGACTAGTACACTGAAAACTATAAAACACCGATGAGAGAAATTTAAGAATACACAAACAATGTAAAAACATCCCACATTTCTGAATTGGAAGAATTAAAATTGTTAAAATGGCATACTATCCAAAGCAAATATACAGTTTTTAAGACAATCCCTATCAAAATTCTAATCGCATTTTTCACAGACATAGAAAAATACAATCCTGCAATTGACATGGAACCACAAAAAACCCCAAGCTAACACAATACAGAGGAAAAAAATTAGTGCTGGAGGCATAACACTACGTGATTTAAAATTACATACAAAGCTATAGTAATAAGAACAATATATGGTATTGGCATCAAAACAAAAACATAGACCAATGGAACAGAATAAGAAGCCTAGAAATAAATCAAAACATACACTGTCAACTAACTTTCAACAAGAGCAACCAAGAGGACACAGTGGAAAAAAGACAGTTTCTTCAATAAATGATGCTGTAAAACTGGATTTTCACAGGCCAAACCATGAAATTGGGCCCTTATCTTACACCCTATAGAAAATCAACTCAAACTAGATAAAAGACATAAATAAGATATGAAACCATGAAACTCCTAGAAGAGAATGTAGGGGACAGCCCCCTCGACGCTGGCCTTAGCAATGATTTTTCAGATAATCCACCAAAAGCCAGGCTGCATGCAAAAGTCAACAAGGAGGACCGCATCAAACTAAAACCCTTCTGTGCAGCAAAGGAAACAATCAAAAAAAGGCAACCTACAAACTGGGAAAAATATTTGCAAGTCACTAACTGATCAAGGGCTAATATCCAAAATCAATGAAGAACCCTTACAACTTAAGCAGACAAATAACCCTGTTAAAAAGCTAACAAGAGACCTGAACAGACATTTCTCCAAAGACGACAAAAACAATCAGCAGGAAGTGGGGAGATGAAGGCCAAAACACGCAAAGTAGCAGACGTCGGATGAACAAGGCCAGAGACCTAATGTATAACATGAGGACACTGTCTTGGGATTTTTGTTGAGTAAGTAGATTTTCGCTGCCCTTGACACACAAAAAAGTACCTATGTGAGATGGTAGGTATGTGAACTTGCTGACTATAGTAACCATTTTACTACTGACGTGTACCTTTGACATCATGCTGTCACCTCAAATATACACAGTAACATTTAGTTTTAAAAAAGAAAAGTTTGGCCAGGAGTGGTGACTCATGCCTGTAATCCCAGCACGTTGGGAGGCTGAGGTGGGTGAATCAACCTGAGGTCAGGCGTTTGAGACCAGCCTGGCCAACATGGTGAAACCCCGTCTCTACGGAAAATACAAAAATTAGCCGGGTGTGGTGGTGGATGCCCGTAATCGCAGTTATTCAGGAGGCTGAGGCAGGAGAAGTGCTTAACCCCGGGAGGCAGAGGTTGCAGTGGGCTGAGATTGCGCCGCCGCTCTCCAGCCTGGGTGACAGAGTGAAACTCCATCTTGAAAAAAGAAACAAAAAAGTTGGCGGGGGGCGGAGCTCGGCGGAGACGGGAAGGGGTCGCAGTGGCTGCCGCTCCTCGAGTTGGGGGCCCCCTCGGACACCGCCAGGCAGACGGCGAGTACCGAGCGTGGGTGGCCGCGGTGTCCGTGGGCCACGCTCAGCTGCGGTCAGAGGCGACATGAGCGCCGCGGGGCTGCTGGCCCCGGCCCCGCCCGGGCTGGAGCGTCCCCGGGGAGGACGAAGAGCTGGAGAGCGCCAAGGACGACGAGCGCAGCTGCCGGGCCGCGAGTCGGACGAAGACACTGAGGATGCTAGTGAAACTGACCTGGCAAAGCATGATGAAGAAGACTATGGGGAAGTGAAGGAACAGATGTATCAGGACAAACTGGCTTCTCTCGAGAGGCAGTTGCAACAACTACAAGAAGGTACATTACAGGAATATCAGAAGAGAATGAAAAAACTAGGTCAGCAGTACAAAGAGAGGATACGGAATGCTGAACTCTTCCTCCAGCTGGAAACTGAACAAGTGGGACGAAATTACATGAAAGAAAAGAAGGCAGCAGTGAAAGAATTTGAAGACAAGAAGGTTGAGCTGAAAGAGAACCTGATTGCTGAGCTAGCAGAAGAGAAGAAAATGATTGAAAACGAAATGCTGACAATGGAACTGAATGGAGATTCTATGCAGGTGAGACCTATCATGACCAGAAAGTTGCGGAGGCGACCAAATGATCCCGTCCCCATCCCAGACAAGAGGAGGAAACCTGCTCCAGCCCAGCTAAACTATTTGTTAACAGATGAACAGATCATGGAGGATCTGAGAACATTAAATAAGCTTAAGTCACCCAAGAGACCAGCATCTCCATCCTCTCCTGAGCACTTGCCTGCGACACCCGCGGAATCTCCAGCCCAGAGGTTTGAAGCTCGGATAGAAGATGGCAAACTGCACTATGACAAAAGATGGTACCACAAGAGCCAGGCCATCTATCTGGAGTCAAAGGACAACCAGAAACTGAGCTGCGTGATCAGTTCTGTAGGAGCCAATGAGATCTGGGTGAGGAAGACAAGTGACAGCACCAAGATGAGGATCTACCTGGGCCAGCTTCAGCGCGGGCTCTTCGTCATCCACCGGCGCTCAGCTGCTTGACTTTCTACAGTGCTCTTCTCTTGACCCTTTTTCTGGAGTGGGTTTTATTTTTGTTTTGTTTTGTTTTCTTCTTAACAGAAAAATGTTAACTTACTGGGAGTAGCTACTCAGCCTTAGAAATGGAGAGCATTGTAGTGGATTCTTTAAGGCACTTTTGTGGCCAGCCCCTTCCAACTTCCTCAGTCTTTTCTGCCTCAACTTCTTCCAGACATCAGTCACCATGAGACTGTTTTACTTTCAGGAGTATTGGGGGGTTTGATTTACTTTCCTTTTATTTCTTTGTTTTTTGCTTATACTTGTTTTTGAAAACCTCCTCTGAGTTTGAAGGGACAGCTATTTTTATTAATTATCTTTAAGTCTCTCTGCCATGGAGAAGAGCAGGAAGGCATACACTGTCCAGTGCATTTTCATTAGTGGATCACGTAGCTACTTTCCCTGTCGAGTCCAATTCACTATTTCCTCAGAAGCTTGGGGCAGAGGTCCTAGCAGAAGGAGATGAATTCTCCTGGCTCTCAGCCTTCTTGGAGAAATAAATGCTTTGTGTAACATCTGTGCACACCATCCATTCCACTGGCTGAGCGATGGAAAAGCTTGCCTGGGAGACTCTGTGCACTGAAGTAAATGGGGTTGGGGGAGGGGACATTTCATATTTATAATGTGCTGAAGGTACCATATTTTAAATGTTATTTAATGCGGTGATTTATTCAAACATTTATTCTAGCTTAAGCTGGAATAAGAAGTGGTCATTTCAGAAGTTTTCATTTGTAATTCCTTCCTCTCCCTTGTTCCCAAGTAGGTAGTAGTAGTATGTGCCACAGGCTGATTATCTGGGTAATCTCTTATGGGTGGGAGGTGAGATTGATAGTGCAGTAATCAGTGATCTATAGACCCGCATGCACGATTCAAGTTTCACTCTTGTGGCTGATGCCATCATTGCACATTGGCCATTCCAAACCTGCGGAGAACTTTGTTGTCAGGCCCTCAGCACTCAGAGCTTCATTTGGCCCAGGTTGAAGACAAGGAAAGCTCTGCCGTGGCTGCCTCTGCACTGACACCCTCCCTAATGAGTCCTGATGAAACAGCCTTTCCTACATCCTTCCCTCATTCCCATGATTGGAGAAATGATTCATTGGGTGATGAGTGTTGGGGTTTTCCATACTCATGTTGCCATCTTGAGATGTTTAAAAAATTTGGGGTTAGAGCAACTGTTAGCGTCTCCATGGGCAATCAGTAGAACTTACACATTCCAGGAAATCTTTCTTTGTAAATAATTCTTTTGGTCTCAAGTGATTCCCTTCAAGTTGTCTCTTGATGTACAAACCCCAAAGCAAGTTGGGGGGCTGTGATGACAATTAAATCACCTTCTCTGAAGTTCTGGCTCTACAGAGACCAGAACTTACTGACTTGTGCAGACTTGTACAAGTAAAGACTTATACAGATAGATTTTTGTTTTAACTTATAATCTGTTTTTTCCTCTTTTTTTTTTTTCTGGTGTTGGAGTCCTATTTAGAAAACAGGATAAATGACGCTGTTATAAAAAAAAAAATTATCTCCAATCGAGAGAAAACCACTATTACCATGTTTTATGTTCCTTTCCAAAATATTTTATGAATAAAAATTGTTCAAATTTATTTTTATTTTATTTTATATATATATTTTTATTATACTTTAAATTCTAGGGTACATGTGCACAACGTGCAGGTTTGTTACATATGTATACATGTGCCATGTTGGTGTGCTGCACCCATTAACTCGTCATTTACATTAGGCATATCCTAAGGCTATCCCTCCCCCCTCCCCCCACCCCACAACAGGCCCCGGTGTGTGATGTTCCCCTTACTGTGTCCAAGTGTTCTCATTGTTCAATTCCCACCTATGAGTGAGAACATGCAGTGTTTGGTGTTTTGTCCTTGTGATAGTTTGCTGAGAATGATGGTTTCCAGCTTCATCCATGTCCCTACAAAGGACATGAACTCATCCTTTTTTATGGCTGCATAGTATTCCATGGTGTATATATGCCACATTTTCTTAATTCAGTCTATCATTGTTGGACATTTGGGTTGGTTCCAAGTCTTTGCTATTGTGAGTAGTGCCGCAATATGAGACCTTATACCTGAAAATTCGAAGCATGTAACACATTACCTATAAAAGTGTCTGATCTCCTCTTTTCCTGTTTGAATGCCCTTTATTCATTTCTCTTGTCTGGTTGTTGTGGCCAGGATTTCTAATGTTGAAAAGGAGTGGTGAGAGAGGTGATCCTTATCTTGTGCTGGTTTTCAAGGGGAATGCTTCCACCTTTTGTCCATTCAGTACGATGTTGGCTGTGGGTTTGTGACAGATGGCTCTTGTTATTTATTTATTTTTTGAGATGGAGTTCCACTCTTCTTGCCCAAGCTAGAGTGCAATGGCACGATCTTGGCTTACTGCAACCTCCGCCTAATGGGTGCAAGTGATTCTCCTGCCTCAGCCTACCTAGTAGCTGTGATTACAGGCACGTGCCACCAATCCTGGCTAATTTTTTTTGTATTTTTAGTAGAAATGGGGTTTTACCATGTTCGCCAGGCTGGTCTCGAACTCCTGACCTCAGGTGATCTGCCCACTTCGGCCTCCCAAAGTGCTGGGATTACAGGCATGAGCCACCGTGCCCAGCCCATGGCTCTTGTTATTTTGAGGTATGTTCCTGCAATACCTAGTTTATTGAGTTTTTAATATGAAGGGATGTTGAATTTTATCAAAAGCCTTTTCTGCATCTATTGATATGATCATGTGGTTTTTGTCTTTAGTTCTGTTTATGCAATGAATCACATTTATTGATTTGCATATGTTGAACCAGCCTTGCATCCTGAGGATGAAGCCTACTTCATCATGGTGGACAAGCTTTTTGATATGCTGCTGGATTTGGTGTGCTAATATTTTGTTGAGGATTTTTACATCAATGTTAACCAAGGATATTGGCCTGAAGTTTTCTTTTTTGTTGTGTCTCTGCGAGGTTTTGGTATTAGGATGCAGACAACATGATTCTACATCTGGAAAACCCCATATTCTCGGCCCCAAAGCTTCTTAAGCTGATAAACAACTTCAGCAAAGTTTCAGGATACAAAATCAACATACAAAAAAAATCACTAGCATTCTTATACACCAGCAACAGCCAAACCAGGAACCAAATCAAAACTCAATTCCATTCACAATCACCACACACACACACTCCTAGAAATACAGCTAACCAGGAAAGTGAAAGATCTCTACAAGGAGAATTATACAACACTGCTCAAAGAAATTAGAGATGATACAAACAAATGGGAAAACATTTCATACTCATAGATAGAAAAATTGCCCAAAGCAATTTATAGATTCAATGCTATTCCTATCAAACCACTAATGATATTCTTCACAGAAATATAAAAAACTATTTCAAAGTTTATATAGAACCAAAAAGGATCCCAAATGGCCAAGACAATTCTAAGCAAAAAGAACAAAGTTGGAAACATCACACTACCCAACTTCAAACTACACTACAGGGCTATAGTAACCAAAACAGCATGGTACTGGTATAAAAAAAGACACATAGGCCAATGAAACAGAATAGAGGATCTAGAAATAAGGCCACATACCTATGATCATCTGATCTTCAACAAAGCTGACAAAAACAAGCAATGGAGAAAGGACTTCCTATTCAATAAATGGTGCTGAGATAACGGGCTAGCCATATGTAGAAGATTGAAACTGGATCTCTTTCTTACACCATATACAAAATCAACTCAGGGTGGATTAAAGAATTAAATGAAAACCCAAAACTATAAAAACTCTGGAAGGCAACCTAGGTAATACCATTTTGAACATAGGAACTGGCAAAGATATCGTGATGAAGACGCCAAAAACAATTGCAACAAAAGCAAAAATTGACAAATGGGATCTAATTAAACCAAAAAGCTTGTGCATGGCAAAAGAAACTATCAACAAGAGTAAACAGCCTACAGAAGAGGAGAAAATATTTGCAAACTATACACGTGACAAAGGTCTACTATCCAGCATCTATAAGAAACTTAAGGCTGGGTGCAGTGGCTCACACTTGTAATCCCAGTACTTTGGGAGGCCGAGGCAGGTGGATCACGAGGTCAGGTGATAGAGACCATCCTGGCTAACATGGTGAAACCCCGTCTCTACTGAAAAAAAAAACAAAAACAAAAAAAATTAGCTGGGCGTGGTGGCGGGCGCCTGTAGTCCCAACTACTTGGGGGGCTGAGGCAGGAGAATGGCATGAACCCGGCAGGCAGAGCTTGCAGTGAGCTGAGATCGCACCACTGCACTCCAGCCTGGGCGACTGAGAAAGACTCCATCTCAAAAAAAAAAGAAAAAAACTTAAGCAAATTTCCAAGAAAAAAACCAAGCAACTTTATTTTATTTTTTATTTATTTTTTATTTTTGAGACAGAGTATCGCTCTGTTGCCCAGGCTGAAGTGCTATGGCACACAATCTCGGCTCACTGCAACCTCTGCCTCCTGGGGTCAAGCAATTCTCCTGTCTCAGCCTCCTGAGTAGCTGGGATTACAGGCACCCACCTGTAATCCACCACCACACCAGGCCATTAATTTTTTGTATTTTTTTAGTAGAAATAAGGTTTTGCCATGTTGGCCAGGATGGTCTCGAACTTCTGACCTCAGGTGATCTGGCCTCAGCCTCCCAAAGTGCTGGGATTACAGGCCTGAGCCACCGCACCCGGCCATAAAACAACAATATTCCAAAGTGAGCAAAGGGCATGAGCAAACACTTTTCAAAAGAAGACAAACTTGAGGCCAACCAGCATATTAAAAAAAGCTTGGCTAGGCGCGGTGGCTCACGCCTGTAATCCCAGCACTTTGGGAGGCCAAGGCAGGTGTATCACCTGAGGTCGGCAGTTCAAGACCAGCCTGGCGAACATGGTGAAACCCGCCCCCCCAACCCGTCTCTACTAAAAATACAAAAATTAGCTAAGTGTGGTGATGCATGTCTGTAATCCCAGCTACTCGGGAGGGTGAGGCAGGAGAACTGCTTGAACCGGGAGGCGGGGGTTGCAGTGAGCCAAGATGGCACCACTGCGCTCCAGCCTGGGTGAAACAGAGCGAGACTCTGTCTTTAAAAAAGAAAAGAAAAGAAAAGCTCGATATTACTGATCATTAAAGAAATGCAAATCAAAACCACAATGAGATACCATATCGTATCAGTCAGAATGGCTATTATTAAAAAATAAAAAAATAACAGATGGTGGCGAGGTTTTGGAGAAAAAGGAATGCTTATACACCGTTGGCAGGAGTGTAAATTAGTTCAACCATTGTGGAAGACAGTGTGGTGATTTCTCAAAGATATAAATACAGAAATACCATTCCACCCTGCAATCCCATTACTGGGTATATACCCAAAGGAAAATAAATTGTTGTTATAAAGACACAGGCACAGATATGTTTATTGCAGCACTATTCACAGTAGCAAAGGAAAAAAAAAGACTCCAGGAGGCGTCCCTGGGAGACTTTCTCCAGCCTCATAGCCCATCTTGCACCCAAGTGACAGCACGTGGCTTTCCTTTTGTGAGGGGAGCCCATGGGATTCACTCCCTTTTCCTATTTCCTCCGGGGTGAAGCCTCATGTGTCGGGACAATGTGGGATCAGGGACTGTCTGGGTGACCCTGGCGAGCCTCTCCTCACGGAGTTCTAGCGGCCATCAGGGAAAGGGGAGCACGCCCAGGGCGGCCGCCCCCAGGGGTGTTTGAATACAGGCCAGGAGCAGGCTGCTCTGTGATGGTGGGGCGGGAGGTGATGAGACTCCCCTGAGAGGCTCCCTTCGGTGCTGGAAAGATGGGACATGGGGAACCGCCTCCTGCCTGGACCAGTTGATGCCCAGAGCCACTCCCCTGGGTCCTCATCGCTCCTTCCAGGCAGTGAGGATGTGGGTTTCCAGGGGAATCCAGGCCTTTAGGGAGAGTGGGAATCTGACTTTGATCTTGCAGCTCCGCATTTTTCCTGCACATTTGCTGATTAGTTTATGCCTGTCAGGGGCCTCAGGGCCAGTGCTAAGTCCCAGGGTCTTAGGGTAGGAAAGATGATTCCCCAGATTTCCTGCAGGCATTTGAGCATGGTGGAAGGATCAGTGGAGCCTCCAGTGAAACTTGGCAGATTGCGCACTTCATTTATTTTCACTCTCCCAGGATCCTTCCCAAATTATCATAAATAAACAGAGAATTCTGAAACCTACAAAGAAAAATACAGCAAAAGAACAATGAATCAGTTTCAAAGCCTAGGCAGAGAGGCCGTAGGGTGACTGACAGCAGCCCCTGTGGGACTGGAGAGCAGACGGTTTGGTGGAAACAGCGCCCAGTTCCACAGAGGGAACTTGAGGAGAAGCAAAGTGACTGAGCCAGCAGAGCCGGGCCCCAGACCCCCACCCCAGCCTGTGGGAACTGCAGGTGTGATCTGGGAACACACTGTTCTGTCCCTTCTATTTTTCTCTTCATATAAGCTCTGGTTCTAGAAACAACTCACCTGCAGCCGTGTGTGTGTGTGTGTGTGTGTGTGTGTGTGTGTGTGTGTGTGTGTGTGTGTGTGTGAAAGAGACACAGAGCACGTGGGAGCTCATTTCTCCCTGGGTGTGTGTGTGTGTGTGTGTGTGTGTGTGAAAGACAGACACAGAGCACGTGGGAGCTCATTTCTCCCTGGGTGTGTGTGTGTGTGTGAAAGACAGAGACACAGAGCACGTGGGAGCTCATTTCTCCCTGGGTGTGTGTGTGTGTGTGTGTGAAAGACAGACACAGAGCACGTGGGAGCTCATTTCTCCCTGGGTGTGTGTGTGTGTGTGTGTGTGTGAAAGACAGAGACACAGAGCACGTGGGAGCTCATTTCTCCCTGGGTGTGTGTGTTTGTGTGTGTGAAAGACAGAGACACAGAGCACGTGGGAGCTCATTTCTCCCTGGGTGTGTGTGTGTGTGTGTGTGTGAAAGACAGAGACACAGAGCACGTGGGAGCTCATTTCTCCCTGGGTGTGTGTGTGTGTGTGTGTGTGTGTGTGTGTGTGTGAAAGAGACACAGAGCACGTGGGAGCTCATTTCTCCCTGGGTGTGTGTGTGTGTGTGTGAAAGACAGAGACAGAGCACGTGGGAGCTCATTTCTCCCTGGGGGTGTGTGTGTGTGTGTGAAAGACAGAGACACAGAGCACGTGGGAGCTCATTTCTCCCTGGGTGTGTGTGTGTGTGTGTGTGTGTGTGAAAGACAGAGACACAGCACGTGGGAGCTCATTTCTCCCTGGGTGTGTGTGTGTGTGTGTGTGTGTGTGTGTGAGAAAGACAGAGACACAGAGCACGTGGGAGCTCATTTCTCCCTGGGTGTGTGTGTGTGTGTGTGTGTGTGTGTGTGTGTGTGAAAGACAGACACAGAGCACGTGGGAGCTCATTTCTCCCTGGGTGTGTGTGTGTGTGTGTGTGTGTGTGTGTGTGTGTGTGAAAGACAGAGACACAGAGCATGTGGGAGCTCATTTCTCCCTGGGTGTGTGTGTGTGTGTGTGTGAAAGACAGAGCACGTGGGAGCTCATTTCTCCCTGGGTGTGTGTGTGTGTGAAAGAGACACAGAGCACGTGGGAGCTCATTTCTCCCTGGGTGTGTGTGTGTGAAAGACAGAGACAGAGCACGTGGGAGCTCATTTCTCCCTGGGGGTGTGTGTGTGTGTGTGTGTGTGTGTGTGTGTAAGACAGAGACACAGAGCACGTGGGAGCTCATTTCTCCCTGGGTGTGTGTGTGTGTGTGTGTGTGAGAGAGAGACACAGAGCATGTGGGAGCTCATTTCTCCCTGGGTGTGTGTGTGTGTGTGTGTGTGTGTGTGAAAGACAGACACAGAGCACGTGGGAGCTCATTTCTCCCTGGGTGTGTGTGTGTGTGTGTGTGTGTGTGTGAAAGACAGAGACACAGAGCACGTGGGAGCTCATTTCTCCCTGGGTGTGTGTGTGTGTGTAAGACAGAGACACAGAGCACGTGGGAGCTCATTTCTCCCTGGGTGTGTGTGTGTGTGTGTGTGTGTGTGTGTGTAAGACAGAGACAGAGCACGTGGGAGCGCATTTCTCCCTGGGTGTGTGTGTGTGTGTGTAAGACAGAGACACAGAGCACGTGGGAGTGCATTTCTCCCTGGGTGTGTGTGTGTGTGTGTGTGTGTGTGTGACACAGAGCGCGTGGGAGCGCATTTCTCCCTGGGTGTGTGTGTGTGTGTGTGTGTGTGTGTGTGAGAGACACACACAGAGCACGTGGGAGCCCATTTCTCCCTGGGTGTGTGTGTGTGTGTGTGACACACAGAGCACGTGGGAGCCCATTTCTCCCTGTGTGTGTGTGTGTGTGTGTGTGTGTGACACACAGAGCACGTGGGAGCGCATTTCTCCCCGGCTCCAGATGGCAGCAAGGAAAAGCGAGATCGCACAGGATCCAGGTTCTTTGAGGCCTGATGCCCATTGTCCCACCCTCAGCCTTGGCCTGTCCCCAGCTTGCTGCTGCCTCAAACTACAGGCTTCCAAGCACTTACTGGAGCCATTTTTTCTCACGTAGCCCTCCAACTGTTAGTCAGGGTTAGCCAGGCTCTGTCCGCCCCCAGCCAATCAGACAGTCAGTTTCCCCAGCCAGCGGGGAGTTTCTGGTTTGCCAAGACTCAGAGGCTGGTGGAAGCCAGACTGGGAAGGGGGTGGCTCTCCTGGCTGAGCGGGGGAGAGAGATGGGGCGGGCTGTCTTAGAGGAGGAGGCCAGAGTCTCTGACGAGTAGGGAGCCAGCCGTGCCGGGACTGGGCAGAGCGTGTTCACAGCACAGGTGGATGCAAGTGCAGAGCCCTGAGGGTGAAAGGCAGGGCTGCGGTGGGGCTTAGAGAGGAGAACAAGGGGTGGAGAGAAGTGGGGCAGAGTGGCTAGCCGCCCAGTCGGACCAGGCCTCATGGACTCTGGTGGCCACTTCAGATTCTCTTTTGGCTGCAGGTTTTAATCCCAACAGCAGTGCAACCTGGTCACACTTGAGAAACATGGGCAGCTGCCGTGGCAAGCACAAGTTGAAGCGGATGGATGTTAGTGGGCTTTGCTGTGGTGGGAGTGGGCATGATGACAGCATGGGCTGGGCATGGTGGGAAGGCTGGAGAGAAGCGGGAAGACCGGGTGCGTGAAGTGACCTCACCTGCCCACAACTCGCTGAGGTCACGGCAGGTGTGTGAGGAGGAATGGAGTATAGGAACTCCCGGGTCTTGGCCTGTGCAGCGGGTAGCGGGGGTGTCATGGGGACAGCCGCGGATAATGAGGGAGGGGCTCGGTGGACCCCTTGCTAGGTGGGGCCAGGCTCTGGCCCTCTTGTGCATCGCTTTTTGTACATCACGGTGTGGGCAGTGCTGTCCTGGGGCAATGTGGATCCATTATTCACTGCAGCACGGCACTACTGTTATCTTCTTATTTATTTGTTTCGTTATTGTTTATCCCCCAAATAGAATGAATGGCTTGCTGAAGTATCCCTTGTGCCTAGAACAACATTGGCACAGGGCAGGGGCTCGATGGATATTTGCTGAATGGACGGATAAAAGGATGGATGGTGGACACATGGATGGTGGATGGATGGCCGAATGAATGGATGGATGGATGGTGGATAGATGGCTCTGACGGGGGAATGGGAAGTTTGATACGTTGCTTCAGAGCCCAGAGAGGTTGGGGGGGTGGGGGTAGGAGCAGCGGCCCTGCCATCCTTCCCTCCCTGAACCACCCGACCCTCACAGCCCGTCTCAAATGGGCAAGGGGTTCAGGCATCCAGGGAGACGCACAGCTGCTGCCACACCAGGGCTCAGCAGTCTAGTCTTCTGCCCACCACACCGTCTCTCCTGCCTGCAACACCACTCTCCCTCCCACCCCCAGGGCACGGGACCTCCCCTGGGATCTGACCCCTCACCTCCAACGTGGTCCCCAGAGGGCAGGAAGGAGTGCCTGGGACATTTTGCATGGCCTCCAAGGAAGCAGCAGCCAGGAGGCGCCACAGACCTGAGGTTTTGCAGAGGCGGGACAGCTGCCAGCACCCAGGGCCCCGCCCTGGCGACACGGAGGTGCTGCGGCCAAGAGGGTTCCCCTTTGGGTTCACTGCTGCTGCCCACCACCCGGATCTGGGACGGCAAGGCTGCTGGGGACACTTAGCTTAGCTGGGACAATGTCTCAGGAAGCAGGAAACAGTTGGATCTGCATAGTGGTGGCTGTGGAAAGTCAGCACACAAGGGAAGTCCCCTGCCCATCAGTGTGTAGAAGGAGGTCCTGTGTCCAGTCACGGCTTTCAGGACCAAAGGCTTCCGCAGGGGCCCCAGGCCAGGGCTGCTCTGACCCTCCCATTCCTTTCCCCTCCAACCCCCTCCAGTGTACAAAACGCAGCGCCTGCAGGTGTGCTCAGAAGAGGAACTCCGCAGAGTGGAGGTAAGTCTCCGACATGGGAGAGAGGGAGAGGATCCCCTCTAGAAACCTGGCCTGGGCTCACATGATCCTGTCCTGGTATGTCCCAGTGTCCAGCAGGAACTTCTTGGGTCCAAGACAAATCTCCAGCTTCTGGCTCCCTGCTGGGCACTCGGTAGGTGCCTGATAAATATTTGCAGGATTCTGTAAGAATCAGAATTCCAGTTGTGCTATCTGAGGAGTCCGACAGAAAAGCAGAAGAGGTTATACCAGTGGAGGGAAGGTGGTCTTGGGGTCTGAACAGTTCGTCCACTGCTGCTCAGGTAGGTGGTTTCACCCAGGGTCAGTTTTGTCTTCTGGAGATAGGCCAGGTGACCTGACTTCCTTCACCCTGGGGCACCTATCCCTTCCCTGCAACTGGAGAGCCGGTGTGGTCAGGAGCTGGCTGTCAGCACCCCAACCCCTTTCGCCTTGCCAGCACTTAGGCCTCAGGCCCTGGTTCTTGGCGTGCCTTGTGTCCTCCTTTCCCTGGGGCAACATGGGCCCATCACACTGTAGAAAATGCTGGATTCTCCCATAGGTAACCTGTCTACTAGACAAAATACAGTGACTACCTATGTCCCATTCAGAGGAACAAGGACGCCAGGGCTCAGGTGACTCAGGAGTCCTGCAACCAAATTTGATTGGTCCCTAAGCCCCAAAGCCTTCAGCCATATAGCTTGCTAGCCATATACAGATACTGATGACCCCCCCAAACACACAGTCATTCTCTTCCCAACCTCCCTGACATCCACATAACCTGGGCAATGGCCACTCTGTGCAACTGACTCCTACCCCTCCTCCACCTTGGGCTGCTTGTAGGGTGCCATTACGGCAGTAAGGCGCTCCCTGGGCATCCAGATGCTGGTTGTGAGGGGGTGAATTGAGGGGCAGGCTGGAGGGAGGGGTGATCTTGGTGGGGTGGGAACTTGGAAGACTTCCAGGCTAATTTTGCCCACATTCAAAAGAGGAGCCTTAGAGAGCCTCTTTAGTTCAGCTTCTTCTTCCAGCTAATAGGAGAGAGTGTGCGTGCTCCAATTTCGGGGGAGAGGTTCAGATAATTTCAATAAAACCTGGAAAAAGCCATTGTAATGCCCACACAGCACAGTCTTAGAGCAGGCAGAGCCCCTGCTGTGAGGCCAGTCTTGGAGAGCCGTGGGCCTCCTGCAGTAGCGCCTCTCTGGAGGAGCGGGGCGAGTAGTTCCGGGAGCATAGTGGGTAGTTCTCAGGGTCCAGGGCATGTGCCACCCGGAGTCGCAGCCCCTTCTCCCACTTCTAGCCCAGGGTCCCAGTACTGGGATTCCCTGACCGAATGGCACCCATCCTGCTATTCCCGGATTCCATCTTGCCAAGGGCAGGCCGAGCCTTAGGCCCCAGGAAGCCAAGTGGGGGCACCATTTGCGGAGGTGGGGGGTGTAGACCGCTCCAGGACTGGCAAGTGGCGTCCACTCTCCAGCTGGGAGAGCCCTCTCCTGGTACCAGAGGGAGCCGAGCTGGGTAGAGACGCAGGACAGGCAGTGGGCCGGGCTTTTCACTTGTCCTCTCCGATCTTGGGAGCCAGGCGCCCGTTTCTGGAAGAAAAACCAAAGCTGGACTGGGAAGGACTCTTGTGGAGACCCGGACGTCAGGCGTGGCGCGTTGGGGAAGCAGCTCCACGGGGACCCAGGAGGCGCCGGCCGGGTTGAGCCGGGTTGGTTCCGACCCAAGAGAGCTCGTCCCACGACGGAGCAGGTCCCTTTGCATCCCGCGGGGCCGCCAGGTGCAATTTTCGCTGGGCCGACGGCGCGGAGATGGGCCAGAGTCCGGCCATCCAGAAGTGCCTGGAGCGCACAGCAAGGCCCTGCCCTCGGCTCCGTGAAGGTGAGGGGGTAAAGTCGGCCCGGAGTCCCCGGGGGTGCAGGAGGGGCCCCGCGGGTTCCAGCAGACCCTCGACGGAACGTTCCAGGCAGGCGAGATCTCGCACAGAATCTGCCCTTTTAAAGGCTCGGCTTTGTCCTCGTTAAACTTGCGTCTGGCAACGCGACCGCTGCGGCTCCCGAGCAAGATTAGAGGGTTTCCGCTCGCAGGGGCGCGCCCGGGGACCGCGCCTCCCCGCCTGGTCTCGGCGCCCCGGCCCAGGGGTCTTCAGTGGTGAGGGGCGCCCAGATCGCTGCATCCCCTGGAGCTCTGCGCCCGGCCGAGCCACTCAGAGCTCCCGCCCCGCACACCCACTTCGAGCTCCAAGTCCTTCCTTTTCTATACTCCAAGTTGGATCCTGCTGGGAAGGAAGGGCCCTTCCTGAGAGACCAGGGATTGCGATTTCCCAGCACAAAGTCGAATTCATGACTTCAGCTTCAACGGGGCTGCATTCTCCCCTTGGCAGGAATGGGATGGAGCGAGGGTGAAGCTGCTGGAAAGACACTCGTTTTATTTTTTTAATCGTAAACGGGGCAACTTCCAACTCTGCCAGTTTTAAGCTTCTAGAGTATCTCCTCGGCGGAGCGCGGTGGCTCACGCCTGTAGTCCCAGCACTTTGGGAGGCCGAGGCGGGCGGATCACGAGGTCAGGAGATCGAGACCATCCTGGCTAACACGGTGAAACTCAGTTTCTACTGAAAATACAACAAATTAGCCGAGCGTGGTGGCGGGCGCCTGTAGTCCCAGCTACTCCGGAGGCTGAGGCAGGAGAATGGCGTGAACCCGGGAGGCGGAGCTTGCAGTGAGCCCAGATCGCGCCCCTGCACTCCAGCCTGGGGGACAGAGCGAGACTCCGTCTCAAAACAACAAAAAAGAGCATCTCCTCTACCGAGAAGGGAAGACAGGGGAGTCCATCGGGTGCGCACTCCGCTGTCGCCCAGGCTGGGTTGCTGGGGCGCCAGTCTGCGGTGTTCAGGCCCAAAGCCTGCAGCCTGTTCAGTCCAGGGCACCGCAGGCGCCAGAACTCTGGCGGGCGGGCGGGCGGGCGGCGAGAAGGGCTGTCTAGGGCGCACGCCTCCCGCAGGGGCGTCAGAGGGTCGGGGCCGCAGGAAAGGAGGTGGGCGAGGACTAGCGAATGTAGAAGGGAAGGGCGCAGAGAACTTGACTTCCCACCTTTTGCGCTTTCCAGGCCAGCTCAGGGGCGAGTGTGGGCAGGGCGAGTGTGGGCACGGCGAGTGTGGGCAGGGCGAGTGTGGGCAGGGCGAGTGTGGGCAGGGCGAGTGTGGGCAGGGCGTGTGGGCACGGCGAGTGTGGGCACGGCGAGTGTGGGCACGGCGAGTGTGGGCAGGGCGAGTGTGGGCACGGCGAGTGTGGGAGACCCTAGGTCTGCGCCACCGCCGGCGTGAGCCTGAAAAGCTGCTGGGAGAACCAGCTCCGAAACAGAGTGCCCGGAAGAGATTGTGACACCTATGGAAATTTAATGAATTGATAAAGGGATCGATTCGATTCAATGTGAGAATGTTAGTTTATTTAATAAATAGTGCTGGTATAGTTGTCGATCTAGAAGAAACTCAATCCTCTGGTTTTCGGTATACACAAAATTGGTTCTGGATTTATTATAGGTTTTTTGTTTTGCTTTACTTTTAGTCAAATCGTTGAAGAAATATTATGGGGCATTTTTCTAGGCTTTATTATTAACTATTATTATTCGATGAGACAACATCCTAAACTACACTTTTTGGCAAGCTACTCAGGCAGTATCTCTTACCATTTTAAATAAACATAACGTTTAACACAGCAATCCTAACTTGGGACAGCTATCCCACAAAAACAAAAGCACCTGGATAAGAGGAAACTGTAGGGGAAAGTGTTTTGATGGAAACCGGCATGAGGGCCCTCCTTTCCGGTTTTGATTCTATCGGGTCTCTGAGGCCTTCCGGGCTTTTGGGCTATTTTACAACATTGTAGCTGATTGCAATGCAAAAATAGCCCGGCCCCTAGACAGGTACGTGAATTCTGTTCCGTGGAGATTCGGTTGACTACGCTCCCCAACTGTGGAAGAGGCCAGCTGTGTGTCCATTTACACGTTCACTTTGCTATTCATCTATAAATGTGTCTGTTCTTTGGATTGTCCTTGGTTTAAACATCTTCATTATTGCCTCCATAATGAATTAAGATATTTAGTACACAATTATTTTGCATCTCTGAGTCATGATTTTACCTTTAATAAAAAAAAAATCCTTTAGCAATATAACTGCAGAGGCACAAAACAAAACACCAAACAATGAACTGCCAGTTAGCAATGAAAACAATAAAATCTGTATGAGCCACTCGCAAGATGTCCATAGGTTGTTAGTTTTAAAAGGACATTATAACATATATGGCAGGATCCCATTTTTGTTTTTATTTTTTAAGATGGAGTCTCGCTCTGTCGCCAGGCTGGAGTGCAGCGGTGAGATCTCAGCTCACTGCAACCTCCACCTCCTGGGTTCAAGTGATTCTCCTGCCTCAGCCTCCCGAGTAGCTGGGACTACAGGTGTGCGCCACCACGCCCAGTATCTTTAGTAGACACGGGGTTTCACCGTGTTGGCCAGGGTCTCAAGCTCCTGATCTCATGATCTGCCTGCCTCCGCCTCGCAAAGCGCTGGGATTACAGGCGTGAGCCACCCGCACCTGGCAGGATCCCATTTTCAATTCTAAAAAGGAAAAAGCCATTAGCCTGGGCTATATGACAAACACAAAGCCACCCAGATAGCACTGAGTACCCCTCGGTTCAGATCCTGTGTTACACTGTGCTTTCCACTTCTAAGACATGCTGTCATTTGTGTGCCTGTCTTCCGAGTTTACTTCCTGTGTATGCACTGGTGGAGGCTAAAGGAATTCCATCTCGGATGAGAGGCTAGTCATTCTATTTTGGATGCTAAGCCACCAAGTGGAATTCTGATTAACCCCGTTCTGGGATCCAAGATCGTTCCTTGTGTAAGGGTAGGTAAAGAGGTATTCCCCGTAAATCGGCACTTAGGACAAAGTCGTACCCATTCCCTCTGAAGCACGGGTGCCCCTCCCCTCTAGTATAGAATCCCTGGGTCTTGAGGGGGTAGACACCATCTTCTCTGGCCACAGCTCAGGACATGGATGTGGCTTCTGCTCTCAGGCCCTGTTCAATGTTTTTAATTGTTTTGTTTTGTTTTGTTTTTTGAGATGGAGTCTTGCTCTGTCACCCAGGCTGGAGTACAGTGGTACGATCTCGGCTCACTGCAACCTCTGCCTCCCAGATTCAAGCGATTCTCCTGCCTCAGCCTCCTGAGTAGCTGGGATTACAGGCGTGAGCCAGCATGCCTGGCTAATTTTTGTATTTTTGGTAGAGATGGGGTTTCATTATGTTGCTCAGGCTGGTCTCGAACTCCTGACCTTGTGATCTGCCTACCTCGGCCTCCCAAAGTGTTGGGATGACAGGTGTGAGCCACAGTGCCTGGCCTCAATGTTTCTTTTTAAGAAACTGAATTTTTCAGCCTTTGGCCTCTCAGCTTCCTTGGACTTTGGAGTGGGTTTGCACAGGCCTGCCCACTACAAAACAGCGCTCTAACATACGCCATGCAAAAGTAAACATATAATCATTTTTAAACCTTTACATAATGTTTATTTTGCACATTTAAACACTTTATATAAAGGGTATGATATATGGAAGTTGTTTTTTAAATAAAAATTCTGATCAGGCGCAGTGGCTCATGCCTGTAATTGCAGCACTTTGGGAGGCTAAGGCAGGTAGATCATTTGAGAACAGGAGTTCGAGACCAGACTGGCCAACATGGTGAAACCCATCTCTTCTAAAAAAAAAAAAAAAAAAAAAATACAAAAATTAGCTGGGTATGGTAGCATGCACCTGTAGTGCCAGCTACTCTGGAGGCTAAGAGAATTGCTTGAACCTGGGAGGCGGAGGTTGCAGTGAGCCGAGATCTCACCATTGCACTCCAGCCTGGGCAACAGACCAAGACTCGGTCTCAAAAAAAAAAAAAAATGTTTTTTTTAAATTCCTGAAGGACATAACAGAAGTCTGGAAGAAACGACAAGACACACCTTGTGTTTGGATAAGAAAATTAAATATTTTAAAGGTATTGATAATTCTTACATTTCAATCATTAAAAGACTGTAGTGCTGGAACTGGAATAGAGAAACTGATTGATGAAAAAGAATGAGGAGTCCACAGCTGTCCCATATATATATATATACACATCGGTATATATATATATACACATCTGTATATATATATATATATATATATCTGTATATATATACACATCTGTATATATATATGAGAACTCAGTATATGAAAAATTATGATTTTACAAATCAATAGGGTGAAGTTTGACGATTAAGTAAATAACAATGGAATAACTAATTAGCTGATTGAGGGAAATTGCATGACTATTTTGCTGCACATAGCAAAATAAATTTCAGGTGATTCAAGTTGTAGCCTTTTGATCCAAATAATAAAGAAAACATAGATCAAACCACTAAAAACAGATTTCTCACCCGGGGCTCTTCATCTGAACCACACAACACAGAAAATGAACTGAGTGACTAATTTCTAAAACATCTACCAGTTCTACAAAACTGGTGTCATTCTAGATGTTTCAGACAGAAGTTAATGCCTTACATACAACAGGTGTCGGAAATTCGTGTTAATTCTCTCAGGAAAACTTCACTGCGAAAGGCTAAAAGACAAATAACCAACTTTAAAAAATAGTTGCAATGTGTGGCCAGGCGTGGTGGCTCATGCCTGTAGTCCCAACACTTTGGGAGGCCGAGGCCAGTGGATTGCTTGAGCTCACAAGTTCCAGACCAGCCTGGCCCACATAGTAAAACCCCATCTCTACTAAAAACACAAAAATTAGTCGGGCATGGCAGCGTGCATCTGTAGCCTCAGCTACTTGGGAGACTGAGGCAGGAGAATCGCTTGAACCCGGAAGGCAGAGGTTGCAGTGAACCGAGATAGTGCCACTGGACTGCAGCCTGGATGACAAAGTGAGACTATGTCTCAAAAAAAAAAAAAAATTGGTTGTAACATGTATGAATAGGAATTCATATCCCTAATCCACAAAGCTCTCAGACGCTAATAAAAGATGACTATATCAATATACAAATACACAACACAGAGGCAATGCAGAAAAGAAAAATGTAAATTGCCAATAAACATGAAACTTTTAACTCTCACTAGCAATTAATGAACATTTTAAAATAAGCAAACAAGAAGACATCACTCTCAGTTAACAAATTGTCAAAAATGGTACAGGTTAACAAGGAGGTGCTGAAACCAATACTCAGGTTCTTTTGGTGGAATTCAAACCAGTGTAATTTTTCTAGAAGGCAGTCTGGCTCAAGGAGATAATTAGGTAGGAGTGCAATTGTGTAATACAGGGGTTGTGATTCCAGACTTTTTAATAATATATATAAAAAACTACTCACAACTTGAGTATCCATCACTAAAGGCCCGTTTAAAGATTATTCTATGGGACGGGTGTGGTGGCTCATGCCTGTAATCCCATCACTTTGGGAGGCCGAGGCAGGTGGATCACCTGAGATCAGGAGTTTGAGACCAGCCTGGACAACATGGTGAAACCCCAGCTCTCCTAAAAATACAAAAATTAGGTGAGGCTGGGTGTGGTGGCTCACGCCTGTAATCCCAGCACTTTGGGAGGCCGAGGCAGGCGGATCACCTGAGGTCAGGAGTTCGAGACTGGCCTGATCAATATGGTGAAAGCCCATCTCTACTGAAAATACAAAAATTAGCCGGCTTTGGTGGCGGGCGCCTGTAGTCCCAGCTACTCGGGAGGCTGAGACAGGAGAATCACTTTGAACCCGGGAGGCAGAGGTTGCTGTGAGCCGAGATCACACCACTGCACTCCAGCCTGGGCGAAAGAGGGAGACTCCATCTCAAAAAAAAAAAAAAAAATTATGTGGGCGTGGTGGTACATGCCTGTAATCCCAGCTACTCAGTTGGCTGAGGTTGGAGAATCGCTTGAACCCAGGAAGTGGAGGTTGCAGTGAGCTGAGATCACGCCATTGCACTCCAGCCTGGGTGACAAGAGTGAGACTCAGTCCCAAGAAAAAAAAAAAAAAATTCTTCTGTGAAGTGCTGTGAGCACGAGAATGCCGGCTGACAGCCACCACTGCTGCCATCACCATCCACCTCCCTCCAGGGGCTTCATTCTTCACTTCATCGAGCTGCCTCCCCGTCCCTTGTCCCTACCCCTTGCCCTGCTTCTGCAGGAGGTAACCCTGCTGAGGGTCGGGGAGCAGGGCTGCAGGCACAGGGAAACTTCCTTCCCACTAAATGGGTAGCAGGGATGGGACAGGGAAGAGGAGTTGGAAGAGAGGAGAGAGATGAAAGAGGGAGGGGAAAAAAACCAAGAATAAAAATCATATCTAGAGGCACATGAAAAAATAAAAATTAAATATTAAAAAAATCAGGCCTGGCGCAGTGGCTCACACCTGTAATCCCAGCACTTTGGGAGGCTGAGGCAGGTGGATCATTCGAGGTCAGGAGTTCAAGACCAACCTGGCCAACATGGTGAAACCCCGTCTCTACTAAAAATACAAAAAATTAGCCGGGCACGGTGGCACACCCTGTAATCCCAGCTACTCGGGAGGCTTAGGCAGGAGAATTGTTTGAACGCGGGAGGCGGAGGTTGCAGTGAGCCGAGATCACTCCATTGCATTCCAGCTTGGGCAACAAGAGCAAAACTCCGTCTCAAAAAAGAAAAAAAAATTTAATTTAAAAAAGTTTTCTATGAACCCTCCAATAAGAGAGGTAAGCATACATATAAATAAGTGAATTGTGAGTAAAATAAGTGCATAATAAGCAATATCGCATAAAAATTGTACCATGAACTAGGCTCCATGCTGTTTCTTTTGAGAGGGTTCAGACCAAGGCGTTTCCCAGAAGAGGCAGGTCCCTTCCTGGGAATGACCCCTCATCAGCCTCAGACGGTTTCGTCTTAGAAAAGTTTGCCCTAAATCAAATGGTTTCTTCTCTATCAGAAACCACATATGTTAAAATGTGCCGCTGATTTAAAAGTTGAAGGCAGATGTTGAAGACTTCTACAGGCAAAACTAATCAAATCTGATTGATGTATTTTTTATAAGACATTGGAGAGCATTCCTTGATGTTGAGATTTGCACAGGTTTGTTGGAAGTGGGATAGACTAGAGTTAAGGGAACCTATGCGACAATAAGTCAGAAAATACGGGGTCAGAAAAAGCCAAGTGTCTGCTGGAATGGAAAGGAGGGGACACTCTGAAGAGATATTTCGGCTGGGCTCAGTGGCTCACACCTGTAATCCCAGCACTTTGGGAGGCCGAGGCGGGCAGATCACGAGGTCAGGAGATTGAGACCATCCTGGCTAACATGGTGAAACTCCGTCTCTACTAAAAATACAAAAACAAAATTAGCCGGGCGTGGTGGCGGGCACCTGTAGTCCCAGCTACTCGGGAGGCTGAGGCGGGAGAATGGCGTGAACCCAGGAGGTGGAGCTTGCAGTGAGTCGAGATTGTGCCACTGGACTCCAGCCTGGGCGACAGAGCAAGACTCTGTCTCAAAAAAAAAAAAAAAAAAAAAAAAAAGGTATTTCTAGGACAGAATAAACAAAAGTCAGTGACTGATTGAGATGGCGGGGTGGGCAATGGGGAAGGGATGTATAGGTAGACTCTTAAGTCAGAAGCCTTACTGAAATCAGCCAGAAAGAGCTGGGATCTTCTTCAATCGTGATCTCAATTAATGAAGGCCCTCACCTCCTAGCCCTTCAATCATCTCCACTCACCAGCAACTGTCTTCATCAATATCACCCTTCAGCAGGCAGCTCCACCGAGGCATCTTGCCCTGTCTCTTCCAGTAGCTCACCTCCCCAGACTTCCTCCACTAATCACCCCAGTGAGAATTCACCATGATCTCCCATTTTTAAATTTCTAATCGCTGAGCTGACCCTCACCATGCATCTGCTTCACCCATAGATGGAAAGGAAGCCACCCCATTTTCTTGTCTTTTCACGAGGGCCGCAGGCTGGGGATCACCTTGGTGGTACTTGTTTGACCTCAGTTCCAGGACTTGGATGGCTCAAGGCTGAGGGGGAGCATGGGAGGGGGTGGGGGGCAGGGCAGATGGCCGGCAGGGGCTGGGTGCAAGGTAGGGTACCAGTCCTCAGACTGGTGTGACAAAGCAAAGGCGCCTCCTGTGGAGGGCTGGGAAGGGAGGGCATGGCTGTAGGGGTGAGGGAAGCAGGTCACTGGTGGTGGTGGTGCTGCGTAAGAATAGGGGCAAGCAGTGGACTCTGGCAAGAAGCTGGAAAAGGCGGCAGGAGACAGATGGGCCAGAGGCTGAAGCAGTGAGCGCTCTTGCTTCCGTTGCTTAGCTCTGCGGTTCTGGAACCAGACCTGAGAAGGGGTAGGAACCACATCAGAGCCCACACTTGACATAGGTGGTGACACCCTACTCCAATGACAAGAGGTGCAGGGACAGGGAGCAGGCTTCTCCAGCATGGCCAGAGGGAGTAAAGCTCTTCCACAAGGCTTGGCTGAGCCTGGTCTGCTGACAAAGGAACCCACAGACTTGTCCCCAGCCTCTGTCCACATGTGCCCTTTTCTAACACTCGGGGCAAGTAAGAAGTGTCAGCTTCCACCAAGGAGATAAATATGGTGACAATGACATTTCCCTTCCCCAGAGAATGGGAAATTTCCCCTAGGGTTAAGTTTAACGATTAAGACTGTAGATAAATGTAATTGCTATAGACAAGCTTGAATTTAGGGTAGGGTTTACACTTAAGGCTAACCAACCCTGGGGTTAGGATTGAGGGAGCATTTGGCTCATTGAGTTTCAAGGCTATGGTTAGGGACAAGCTTCTGTAAGAATATGGACAGTTAGGATTGAACTTCTGTTGGAATTGGCATCACTATTTTTTTTTTTTTGAGACAAAGTTTTGTTCTTGTTGCCCAGGCTGGAGTGCAGTGGCATGATCTTGGCTCACTGCAACCTCCACCTCCCGGGTTCAAGTGATTCTCCTGCCTCAGCCTCCGGAGTAGCTGGGATTAATTATAGGCACCTGCCACTATGCCTGGCTAATTTTTTGTATTTTTAGCAGAGATGGGGTTTCACCATGTTAACCAGGCTGGTCTCGAACTCTTAACCTCAGGTGATCCATCCAGCTTGGCCTCCCAAAGTGCTGGGATTACAGGTGTGAGCTATTGTGCCCAGCCGGAATTGGCATCACTATTAAATATTGAGGGTAGGTGTTGAAATTCAAGTTAGATTAGCTTATAGCTAGGGTTAAACTCAAGTGATATGATATTCTCAATGCAGTTGCTCTGATGCTGGTGGTGAGATGAGGCCTGTGTCTGGTGACCATTTAGGTTAGGGTTATAATGCCCAACATTCTATGATAGCACCAAAGAAATCTGCATTTCTTTCCTGAGAGAGGAGGATCCTGGAGCATCACCTGGATTCGGGCCTCACTGAGGCCAGTGTCCCGGGCAAGACTCTCTCGGGCCCAGATGTCGGGGTACTGGTTCCTCCCAAAGGCTGACTCCAGCTGTTCCAACTGCACTGGGCTGAAGGTGGTGCGGTGGCGGCGCCGGGAGTGCGGGCGGCCCCTCTGTCCTCCTTGCGGGGAGAACCTTGATCTCCCCCCTCCTGCACCAGGGAGCCTTCTGCAGGGTGGAGCACTCGAGTCTGAGAACGGAGAGAAGGGAGGGGCGGCTTCTGAGGAGGACGCTCCTCGGTGCTGGACCACATGTGCCTGTCCCGGGATTGCGCTCAGTGCGTCCTGTGCTGCTCCAGTCTTTTTTTGAGACAGAGTCTTGCTCTGTCTCCCAGACTGGAGTGCAGTGGTGTGATCACAGCTCACTGCAGCCTCGAACCCCTGGGCTCCAGTGATCCTACTGCCTTAGCCTCCTGAGTAGCTGGGACTACAGGTGCACACCAACATACCCAGCTAATTAAAAAAATAAAAAATTAGAGATGGGGTCTTGCTATCTTGCCCAGGCTGGTCTCAAACTCCTGGCCTCAAGCAGTCCTCCCATGTCAGCCTCTCAAAGTGCTGGGATTATAGGCCTGAGCCACCGCACCCAGCCCTGCCCCACCGGGAATCTTTTAGCTGCCATAGCCTGGTTCCTGCACCCTGCTCAGCCTCGGCCCCTGGTTGCCTCTGAGTCTCTGACACCAGGCTGTGCTGTCTACACAGGGCACACCCTCAGACTCATTCCTGGCCCTGGCACTCATGCACTGTCTACCTGGCAACTCTACTGTCTGCCCACTTCCTATTGCACTGCCAGACACATACCCCTCCATGTACGTTCACCCTTCTGGACACACACGACCACCTGGGGCTCACCCTGTGGGTCTGCTGTGTGCACCTGCACCCTAACAATCGTCCCAGCTGTCTACGGAAGACCCTAGTGCTTGTCCCCTGCTGGCGAGGCTCCTGTTCAACCTGTGCCTTCTTCAGACTGCTGCCATCTCCCGCACCCCTCACCTGGGAAGATGGGCACCCCCCTCTTCCGCTCAGACACACCCTCCCCTACTTACTTTTCATCTCCTCCCTACCCCTGCCCTGGCCCAGCCACCAGGCTGCAGGAACTTGAGCTCGTGGGAAAGGCTTGCCTTCCTCCCCACAGGCTCCCTAAGCCCCCACACTAATTAGTCTGAGAGCTGTTGGGGAGGAGAGAACGGGGAGGGAAAGGACACACCTGGAAGGCGCACACCAAGAAAAGATGTCTGGAGCCGAGGCACCATCCCCATGGGGCCCAAGGGCGTGGACCCTCCTAGAGCTCACTGTCCACCATGGGGGACACACACACGGAGCCCGCCCTCCCGCCCTGGACCCAAAGCCCTGGCCCCTCCAGCTCCCTTCATCAGAGAAGGCAGTGGCTTGGGCTAACCAACTCTGAGGTCAGGAGTGAGGGGACAGAGGTAACTGTCTCACATCCCCACTGCAATGTGAGCTGTTCAGCCGCCCCCTCCTGCCAAGGGCTCAGTTCCCCAGTCTGTAAAGCCAAGGGGTGCTCCAGTCCCTTTTACTTTCAAAGGTTCCCACAGTTTTAACATGATAGGATTCGGGTTTTAATTTCTCCTCCTAACCTTCTTCATGGAGCCTATGCTTTCAGCCTCACACCCGCTGCCTCCTCAGGGACCCACGCACACCGGGACGGTCACTCACCCACCGTGGTGGTCGGGGTCCCAGTGGCCGGGTGTCTCTCAGGCAACAGGTTGCTGCCGACTCGCCCCTTCTTTGGCTTCTCAGCCTGGCGCCTCCTTTCTGCTTCCATGGCTCGCCACGGGGACCAAGTGTCCCTGAATCTCTGACTTGAGATTTCTCTGCTTCCGCAGCTCCTCTCCACACCTGTTCCCTCCCCTTCTCCCTCTGTGTATGCCACCCTCTGGGACTCTGTCTCTGAATGTGTGTGTAGGTGCAGGCAGCTGTCTCTGACTTTTTCACTGTCTTTACTTTTTTTCTAATTGTTTCCTAATTCCCCCTTCCTTGGCTTGAGTGTCAGCTCAATCTCCTGCCTCAGCCTCACCTGTTGCTCTGTTTCTGACTACTTTTCTCTGCCTGGCCCTTCTCCCCACCGGGATGCTGCTCCCTTCTGTCAGCTGCCTACTTTCCCATCCCACCCCTGAGTCTTGGAGGAGTGACCTCCTCCTCGCCCCTGTGGGCCCATCCAATCACTACACGGTCACCAGAGCCCCCTTGCTCAGGGAGGATCACAAGCCGGATGAGGGAAGGTGTTCTGTCGGAGGGTCCAGGGACTGGGGCCAAGGGCTCGTATTCCCAGAGGACCGGATTCTTTTGTCCTGTTAAATCCCCTCCTGGGAGCAGGCAGGGGGAGGAGGAGAAAATGCATTCCTCCCGAGACCCCCTCCTCACAACCCCACTGTGGGGAGAGGAACGAAGAGCAGGGGAAAGGGACCCAGGAGTGGAGCCTGCCTGGCGTCTCAGCATGGGGGTGACACTCAAGGATCTGCTTCCAGGAAACTAAAAAAGGAGAAGTCACAAGTGCATGCTGGCCCCTCTCAGATACCCTGATAGTTCAGAACACACCAGCCAGTGCTCAGGCCAACCTGAACCCACTCCGGAGAATGGGCCTCCAGGACACCTTAGCTCTCAAGTACTTTCTGATTTCCTCCCTCAAACACCACTTCCTCATTCACCCAGAACCCCCAGGACACCATGACCTTCCAAGGTCACCCAGACTCTCCGAAAACCCTGACCTGAACATCTGCATTCCAGCTGCATCCTGACCCCCAAACCCACTCCAGACTCCAGGACTTGGAAAGAGACTGAGATTCCCGTGACATACTACATTCTGATTCTTCAAGAAAATCCTGACACCGGGAATCTCTGAGCAGTCAGGACAGCCTGGTCCCACAGTACTCTGCCCCTTGAGGTTACTTAGACCTGGGAAGTACATTCTGACATCCCCAGGACACTCTGACAGTTTAAGGATGATGCAACAGCCCAGGACCTTAGGATCCCCTGGGACACGCTGACACCCAGAACACTTCACCTCTGCTTCTCAGGATACACTGACCCAGTGAGAACACATGGACCCCCTGGAACACACTGTACCCACAGGACAGTCTGATTCCCAGGGTCATGCCGTCATACAGGTCCTTTAAAAACACGCTGGTGATTCAAGACAGGAAATCAGAATCCTTTAGGATTTCGATGCTTACCGTGTGGTCCATGGATCAGCAGCAGCAGCAGCACCAGCAATGGGAGCATGTTGGAAATGCAGATCCCTGGGCCCCACCTCCATTCTACTGAGTCACAATCTGCCTTGTATCAAGATCTCCAGGAGAACCGAGTGCACGTGGGTCTTAGTCAGCTGGGGCTGCCATGACAAAATAGCATAGACTGTGTGGTTTAAACAATAGACTTCTATTGCTCACAGTTCTGGAGGCTGGGAAGTCTAAGATCAAGGGGTCCGCCTATTTGGCTCCCCTGTGAGGGCTCTCTTCCTGGCTTGCAGGTGGCTGCCTTCTCTCGGTGCCTTCATATGGTGGAGAAAGAACCAGCTCTGGTTTCTTTTCCTCTGCTTGTAAGGACACTAATCCCATCATGGGGCCTCACCCTCATGAGCTCATCTAAACCTAATCACCTCCCCAAATCCCCACCTTCAAATACCATCACGTTGGGTGTTAGGACTTCAACGTAGAAATTTTGGAGGGACACAAACGTTTAGTCCATAGCAACGTAAAATTGGGAAACACTGCTCTAATTTTAACCCTTCTCCCCTACCCTAGGACACACTTTGACCTCCTGGAGCACCCTGAACCCCATGGCAGTCCTAACCTAGCAAGACCCAGTGACATGCAGTCAGCTTGGACTCACAAGAGAACACTGAATTACAATGCATCCTGCTGCCTGGGGTACCCATTCTGGCCCTGTCAGGTCCTTGAATGCTGAGGGCACTGAGGATGCATTCACTCTCCAGGACACACAGACCCTCCAAGAGGCTCTGACCTCTGTACCTTACACTCAGCACAACATCTTGGGCTCACAATCACTCTGTGACCCTCTAAGTCACCCAGACCATGAGGACATGGTGAGATTTGGGAAATTCTAACCTTTTAAGGAATTCCTGACCTTACAGAATCTAGACCGTCAAGGGCATCTTGTCTTCCTGCCTGTTCAGAGCCCCCAATTTGCTTGAATCTTGCAAAGTGCTGTTGACACTGAAAAACCACTCAACATGCCAACCCCAACCCAGGAAATACCCTGACCACACTAGCCTGATCCATAGGATATTTTGACGAAGAAAAGACATATCCAGGTCTCCCAAAGCACTCTGACCATCCAACATGCCTTTGACACAGGGGATGTCTTAATGCCAGGGCTCTCCAACCTTCCAGTGTACTCTGGTTGTCTCAGCCCTAGAGTTGTCAGTAGGCACCCTAGTCACTGTCACTCTCCCACTCTCCCAATACACAGACAGCCCAGCACAGCTTCAACACACTAGGACCCCCTGAATCCAAAAGGTGATTATTCTAACTCTTGAGATTCTGTCCTCTCAAGGCAACTATTCCCTGCAAGACCCTCTGTAGAATACACATTCCCAGAACTACCGGAACATCTTCACCTCTACCATACTCTCACCCCTCTGTAGAATACACATCCCAGAACTGCCAGGACACCTTCACTCTGCCATACTGTCACCCCTCTGTAGAATACACATTCCCAGAACTGCCAGGACATCTTCACTTCTGCCATACTCTCACCCCTCTGTAGAATACACATCCCAGAACTGCCAGGACACCTTCATTCTGCCATACTCTCACCCCTCTGTAGAATACACATCCCAGAACTGCCAGGACACCTCCACTCTGCCATACTCTCACCCCTCTGTAGAATACACATCCCAGAACTGCCAGGACACCTTCACTTCTGCCATACTCTCACCCCTCTGTAGAATACACATCCCAGAACTGCCAGGACACCTTCACTCTGCCATACTCTCACCCGTCTGTAGAATACACATCCCAGAACTGCCAGGACACCTTCACTCTGCCATACTCTCACCCGTCTGTAGAATACACATCCCAGAACTGCCAGGACACCTTCACTCTGCCATACTCTCACCCGTCTGTAGAATACACATCCCAGAACTGCCAGGACACCTTCACTCTGCCATACTCTCACCCCTGCCTAGCACACTGTGCTCATCCAGGACCCTCTGATTTCCTGAAAATGCTTTGATTGCACAAGAATACCTTGGCACTCTACTCCATGACAGATCCATTCAAGTCTACCCAAACCTTCAAGGACCACCTGAGCTCCAGAAAACCTTGATCTCCCGCATTCAAATACCAAAAGTATATGCTGACCTACCTGAAAACCTTCACAGCTCTGGACTCCCAGAACATCCAGGAGCCTCTGAATCACGCAGCCAGACCAACCTCCAAAACATCCTAACTCCATGCAAGTGGTGTGATCTTCCAGGACAGTCTGACCTCGAAGCTGGTGATGTTGTAAGGATACTTCAAGTGTTCTGACATGATGAAAATGCCTGTAGGCCCAGAACACCTGCCTGCCCTGACGCCCTGTCTCTCCAATACCCCTGCCTTCCCAATACCCCTGCCTTCCCAAGATGCTCCAAGTCTCCCAGACTCTCTGACTTTCACCATTAAGATCTCATCTGATCCTATGTGATCTCTTTGGATCCTCTTAACACCCTGTTCCCCAGGGTCCTCTGACCTTTTAAAATCCTACAAGATGCCGGGCACGGTGGCTCACGCCTGTAATCCCAGCACTTTGGGAGGCTGAGGCAGGCAGATAGCTTGAGATCAGGAGTTCAAGACTAGCCTGGCCAACATGGTGAAACCCTGTCTCTACTAAAAATACAAAAACATTAGCCAGGCACAGTGGCACGTGCCTGTAGTCCCAACTATTCAGGAGGCTGAGGCTGGAGAATCGCTTGAACCTGGGAGGCGGAGATTGCAGTGAGCCGAGATCACGCCACTCACTGCACTCCAGCCTGGGCAACAGAGCGAGACTCTGTCAAAAAAAAAATCCTACAATACACTTGGAACCTACATGGGCATGCTTATCATCCAGAAACAAGGCAAACCCACAGGACACTACTCTGACCATACAAGGATGCCCTGAGTCTCCAGTGGATCAGATCTCTATGAGGACACACTGATTCCCCTGAACACCATAAATCCTAGCTTACTTTGAGCATATGAACACCCTACCTTCTAGGTTATTTGACCCTAGAGGATTACGTGTGTGTGTGTGTGTATACGCACATACATATATGTATACACCTTTTTTGAGACAGGGCCTTGCCCTGTCACCCAGGCTGGAGTGCAGTGGTGTCATCATAACACACTGCAGCCTCAAACTCCTGGACTCAAGTGATTCTTTCACCTCAGCCTCCTGAATGGCTGGGACTACAGGTGCGCACCACCATATCCAGCTAATTTTTGTATGTTTTTGTACAGACACAGTCTCACTACAATGCCCAGAGGAATATCTTACTGTACCAAGTGACTCTGATTCCTAGAGCATTTTAGCCATCCAAAGTTACTTAGACCTTCCAGTGCCTCTGACACCTCAGGAAACTCCACCCCCATCCGGACACCCTCCCTATCTAGTCCACTGTGATGCTGCAGAAAAGTTATTGAATAGTAAAGAAATTCTGTGGGAAGAGTGTCCCTTAAGGATACTCTGATCCTAGAAGAACATCCTGCAAGTCGGGTTGTCTGAATTCAAATTCTAGAACCAGCCCTTGCTTGCTGTGTGACCACAGCAAGCAATTTCATCACTTTAAGCCTTACCTTCCTCATTCGCAAAATGAGCACAATACTAGAACTTTCCTTCTGTGTTTGAGCAGGTATGAAGAATGCCCTATGAAGACTCTATCAAAGAAAGGAATTCAAGTTTTTGTTTAGCTCATCTGTTCAGAAAAGACAATGTAAAGATACTAGTATATTGAACAAAAGGAAATATATAAGACATACGAGTAGAATGACGTCCTAAAAGGCTAAGGTTTACACCTTAGCAAAAAGAAGAGAATAAGAATAGGCTCATAGTAAATAATTCATCACATCAACCAATAAAAAACCATATGATTATCTAGCATTTGATAAAACTCAACACTTATTCTTTTTTTTTTTTTTTTTTTTTGAGATAGGGTCTCAGTCTGTTGCCCAGGCTAGAGTGCAGTGGCACAGTCTGGGCTCACTGCAACTTCTGCCTCCTGGGTTCAAGTGATTTGCCTCCCTCAGCCTCCTGAGTAGCTGGGACTACAGGTGCCTGCCACCAGACCCGGCTAATTTTTGTATTTTTAGTAAAGACAGGGTTTCACCATGTTGGCCAGGCTAGTCTCAAACTCCTGACTTCAGGTGATCTGCCTGCCTCAGCCTCCCAGAGTGCTGGGATTACAGGCGTGAGCCACCGTGCCTGGCCTCAATTTTTATTTATTATTTATTTATTTATTTATTTATTTATTTATTTATTTATTTATTTTGAGAGAAGGGACTTGCTCTGTTGTCCAGCTGGAGTGCAGTGGCACAACCTCAGCTCACAGCAGCCTCCGCCTCCTGAGTTCAAGTGATTCTCCTGCCTCAGCCTCCCAAGCAGTTGGGATTACAGGTGCATGCCAGCAATCCTGGCTAATTTTTGTATTTTAGTAGAGACAGGGTTTTGCCAAGTTGGCCAGGCTGGTCTCGAATCCTGGCCTTAAGTGATCCACCCACCTCAACCTCCCAAAGTGCTGGGATTATAGGCGTGAGCCACTGTGCTCAGCCTTATTCAAATTTTTATATGATATAACTATTAGCAAAATATGTAATAAAGGCTATCCGTTGAAACCTTCAAGATATTTTGATAAAAGTAATCTGTCAAAAACTTGTCATTCTTAAATGATAAAATGTAATTAGCGTTCTCCTAAAATCAGAAGAAACACAGGGCTGGCTGCCTTTACTCCTGCTATGCAACATTGTCCGGGATGTCCCAGCCAATCCAACTAGACAAGAAAAAAATAAGAGGTATGAGGATTTGAAAGAAAGAAAATTGTTTTCCTTTCTTTCTTTCTTTCTTTCTTTCTTTCTTTCTTTCTTTCTTTCTTTCTTTCTTTCTTTCTTTCTTTCTTCCTTTCTGTCTGTCTCTCTCTCTTTCTTTCCCTTCCTTCCTTCCTTTCTTCTTCTTCCTTTTTTTTTTTTTTTTTGACAGATTTTCTCTTGTTGCCCAGGCTGGAGTGCAATGGCGCGATCTCGGCTCACCACAACCTCCACCTCCCAGGTTCAAGTGATTCTCCTGCCTAGCCTCCCGAGTAACTGGGATTACAGGCATGCACCACCACGCCTGGCTAATTTTGTATTTTCAGTAGATACAGGGTTTCTCCATGTTGGTCAGGCTGGTCTCGAACTCCCGACCTCAGGTGATCCGCCTGCCTCAGCCTCCCAAAGTGCTGGGATTACAGGTGTGAGCCACTGCGCCCAGCCTGTTTTCATTATTTATAGATCATATCTTTGTCAGTATAAAGCATTCAAGAGCATATACAGAAAATTGTTAGAAAAAGATCGAAACATTTCTAAATGCAAGATTAAAAACAAAATCAATTACATTTACATATACCAGTATACCAGCAATAGCCAATTAAATAATGCAACAGAAAAAAATTCATAATAGTACATAACTAGCAATATTGTCAAAGATTTGTAAGAAATTTAGGGGATAAAGAAGTTATAAAAATGAAACTAGTCCAGGCACGGTGGCTCACACCTGCAATCCCAGCACTTTGGGAGGCCAAGGAGAGTGGATCACCTTAGGTCAGAGGTTTGAGACCAGCCTGGCCAACATAGTGAAACTCCATCTCTACTAAAAATACAAAAAAAAATTAATAATAATAGCCAGGCATGGTGGTGCACACCTGTAATCCCAGCTACTCAGGAGGCCAATGTAGGAGAATTGCTTGAACCCCAGAGGCGGAGGTTGCAGAGAGCCAAGATTTTGCCACTGTACTCCAACCTGGGTGACAGAGCAAGACTCCGTCTCAAAAACAAAAAACAAAACAAACAAAAACCACACACACAAAAAAAAAGATACTGAAGGACATGAAGGATAACTCAAATTAGAAGATAGTCCATTGACAGAATACTCAGTATTGAAGGGTGTCAATTCTCCCTCAAGTTAAGCTATACATTTGATATAATTTTAGTCAAAATCTAAAAGACTTGTCATAGATTTTGAATGCCTGATTTTAAAATATGTATGGAAAAGTAAAGGTTAAAAAAGTAAAGATTATTTTTAAAAACAAATAATCAGAGAAACAAAAACCAAGAGGAAGGAATTTGTCCTCCCCAAATATCAAAATGGTTTTAGATTTTTTTTTTTTTTTTTTGAGACAGAGTCTCGCTCTGTTGCCAGGGTGGAGTGCAGTGGCGCAATCTCGGCTCACTGCAAGCTCCGCCTCCCAGCTTCAAGTGATTCTCCTGCCTCAGCCTCCCGAGTAGCTGGGATTATAGGCACTGGCCACCACACCCAGCTAATTTTTTTGTATTTTTAGTAGAGACGGGGCTTCACCATGTTGGCCAGGATGGTCTTGATCTCCTGACCTCGTGATCCTCCCGCCTTGGCCTCCCAAAGTGCTGGGATTACAGGTGTGAGCCACCACACCTGGCCTTTTTTTTTTCTTGTGACTGAGTCTTGCTCTGGTGCCCAGGCTAGAGTACAGTGATGCAATCTTGGCTCACTGCAACCTCCACCTCCTGGGTTCAAGTGATTCTCCTGCCTCAACCTCCTGAGTAGCTGGGATTACAGGCGTGTGCCACCACACCTGTCTAATTTTTGTATTTTTAGTAGAGAAAGGGTTTTGCCATGCTGGTCAGGCTGGTCTCAAACTCCAGACCTCAGGTGATCCGCCCGCCTTGTCCTCCCAAAGTGGGAGGATTACAGGCATGAACCACCACATCTGGCCTAACGAATGACTTTTCATAGGTCACTGGACATCAAGGAGCCACTTGTGAACCAGGTGGAATGCAGGTGGGATGCATAGCACATGGCCCACAGGACCTGCACTGTGGGTTGGATACAGTAACGGAAGGGGCCTTTGGTCTTTCTTTTTTTTTTTTTTTTTTTTTTTTGAGAGAGAGTCTTGCTCTGTTCCCCAGGCTGGAGTGCAGTGGCGTGATCTCGGCTCACTGCAAACTGCGCCTCCCAGGTTCACACCATTCTCCTGCCTCAGCCTCCAGAGTAGCTGGGACTACAGGCACCCGCCACCACGCCCGGCTTTTTTTGTATTTTTAGCAGAGACAGGGTTTCACCGTGTTAGCCAGGATGGTTTCGATCCCCTGACCTCGTGATCCACCCGCCTCGGCCTCCCAAAGTGCTGGGATTACAGGCGTGAGCCACCGCGCCTGGCAAGGGACTTTGGTCTTTCTTGCTTGGGGCTGGGATGAGTGTGTCCTGTGTGAGAAGAAGGAGGCACAAGGCAGATTGGGTGGCCACAGCTGTAACCTGGAGCCACAGAGCGGGCTTCTGTTACACACTATTCTTCTTTTCTTCACTTTAACAGAACCATCCCTTGAGGTTTAGCTGGGGGCACCTGGCTGCCCAGCTACAGACTAGATTTTCCAGACTAATTTATATCAATTTTCTTTATTCCTTTAAAAGTTGTTTATTTATTGCACTTACATACTAAGATACCATTCTCAAAGGACCACGAAAGCAGAAATGGTTAATATATGAAGCTGTCTATAGGCATGATAGAATAAAAAGTTTAAAAATTATTTGGGTCAGGCTTAAATAATTTTAACAGGTAAAAAAAGTGTTTGACAATATTCAACAAATAATTCTTCACCTAATTTCTTATTGAAGCAATCACCTTAATATTCATTGGCCTTGATAAATGTGAACACTGGTCATATTTATGTAAATAATGGTCATGTGGCTTTCTTGGCATATCTAAATTCATGTTAGATCTGGCTTAACCTGTGCTTATGTATGTATATGTTACAGTTATGTACATTAAATGTGTGTGTAAGAGTTGGAATTATTTGAAAGATAGCAAAATTTTAACTAGAAAAAATAAGTTAATATCTAATGATTGTTGACTCATTGATTAAAATAAGTAGTTATTATGAAAGAGAAAAAAGGTGATTTCAAATTGATTCAGAAGAACTGGCCCAGCAACTAAGATTGTATGCTTTCCTTTTTAAAAAAAAAAAAAAAAGAACTGATACAATGTTATGTGACAATTAAGTACAGAAATTACAAAACTAGTTAAATTGATGTTGCCATTAAAGCAACATTAAATAGTTTTGGGGGAGAAGAAAGAAGCCGAGAAGATGGTATCTGTGCAGTTAAGATGGTCATGTCATTTGATACATGTAAACAGAAAGCAGCCTGAGGCCCACACCTGCACCATGCTGAAAAAGCTGACCAGCGTTATATGTTCAGTCCTAGATGAAATGCTGCATTTATTTTTTAAACACTGGTATGCATTGTTTTAAAAATGTATAAAATAACAGTGAAAAGTTAAAGAATCGTAAGAATGTAGCTAAATGTAAAAAAATTTTGCAAAGCCATAATTTTTATGATGAAACAAATATGTTTTTTATCTTTTATGTGTAATGTTTTAATGCTTTTTTAACCCAATGAAATGTGGAAGTGTTTTGTGATTTTTATCTTACTATAGCGATTGTTTTATAAACAAAGAAAAAATTAATTCAGGGTTGCAGAGATGGTAAACTATTAAAATAGTTTGGTTATTAAATTATGCAATAATTGGGTATTAAATAATTCAAAATCGAAGAGCTGCGATTGAACAAACCTGTAGGCATAGGTAAGTGCTGAGGTGAAAGTGCCAACCAAAGCCGTTAGATTGAACATTTATGCCTGGAGGGAATCAGTAGAGGAACTGGCTGTGGACCTTCACCTCTGCATCCCCTTTGCTTTCTGCTGTAGCTGGGTATCACAAAAACAACAACAACAAAAGCCACTTATTTCTTAAAGACAGAGAAAGGATAGTTCCTTCCATTTAGGCATTCCTAAATTGCCTCCCCGGTGGCCCCTGCGCTCTTGGAGGAGGTCAAGGCAGAGCAGACCCTCAGGTGGGTGAGCGATGCACTTGACCCTGAGGACATCAGGTACCAGGCCCACTAGCCCCCGCAGGCGCGGAGCTGCGGCTGCAGCCACCAGCCTAGACGTGGCGCGCCCGCAGCAAGTGGCTGGACACCGCAGACCAGGCCCGCGTCCCCAGCAGCGCGGATCCCGGGGCCAGCCGCCCAGGCAGCAAAGTCAGGCGGTCGGCTTCGCCAGCAGCCGATGAGTCTCATCCTGTGGATTGCCCAGCGCCAGGGATCAGGATCCGGAGAGGTGTCCAGGAGGAGCAGACCCTCAGACCAGGTAGGCTGTGCACTCGGTGACCCTGACGCCATCCAAGGGAAGCTCCGCCATCCCGCGCCAGTGCCTGAGCTGCAACTGCAAACTGCGCGTCCTGGCACGAGCAGCGGTGGGGGCGGGTGGGGGAAGGAGCGAGTGACTCTCCAGGCGTCTTCCGCTACCTGACACCAGCCAGGCAGCCCCCAGGGCCAGAGCGTCAGCGCCCAAGCCAGGCTTATCCGGGAAGCCACTCCGGTGGCCGCGGGGTGCCCATGCCAGCACCAGATCTCTCTTCGGAAGGAGGAGCGGGGCGGGCTACACGGCCAGACGGGCCCTCCCCTTAAGGCGGGGTGGGCCGCGCGCCTGCGATTTTCCGTCCGTGGTCCTGGGGCAGCCCGGGCCAGCCCAGGAGAACCCGCGAGCCCAGCGGCGCCTGCACCTGCGGCTTCCGGGAGCCGGGCGGCTTTGCGAGGCTCACTAGGTCTGAGAGGTCGGAGGCCGCCAGTGTCGCTGCTGAAGGGCGGACCAGGCGGGATCGCGGATTCTGGGCTAGATCGCAGACTTGGTATCGCGGATTGGGATTTGGATCGGGGATTTTGAGTTGGATCACGGATTGGGGGTTGGATCACGGATTGGGGGTTGGATCGCGGATTGGGGTTTGGATCGCGGATTGGGGGTTGGATCGCGGATTGGGGTTTGGATAGGGGATTTGGAGTTGGATTGGGGATTTGGGGCTGGGTGTGGGGCGAGGGGGAGTGAAAGGGTGACACGGAGCTGCCGCGGCTCAGGAGCCAGTGGTTGGGGGTCTGAGAAGAACTCACCACCTTGAAGAAGTTATTCGGCTTTGGGAGCCGCAGGGGCCGGCGGTCCGGGGCTCCCTAGGCCACGTCTACAGGGGTTCGGGGTACCGAATCGGAAGAACCACAGGGCGCTGTCAAGGGCGAAGCCGCGGAAGTGGAGCGCTGCCTGGCGCGCAGGAGCGGAGACCTGGAAGCCGGGGACAGGCAGCACAGGCAGCGGGGTGTGGGCTCAGCCCAGGGTGGGAGGGGGTCCCCAGGCCCGGCTTCCCCGCAGCCCCTGGGATGGGGCCTCGGAGGGCACCCTCAGAGGGGTGGTGCCAAACGGAGCCTCAGCTGCTCTGCATCCCCCATAATTCCCCAGCTGGAGCGCTTGGTGGAGAATGTGAGTGATTTAACTCACCAAGCTAAGCATACACAGTGTTATTTTTAACCTACACGTTTAAAACATGATGTTATATACATTATAGGAGGTGCCTAATGAGAGAACTCATTCCTCTATCAAAAAATACCGTGAGTCGGCCGGGCGCGGTGGCTCAGGCCTGTAATCCCAGCACTTTGGGAGGCCGAGGCGGGCGGATCACGAGGTCAAGAGATCGAGACCATCCTGGCTAACACGGTGAAACCCCGTCTCTACTAAAAATACAAAAAAAAAAAAAAAAAAAATAGCCGGGCGTGGTGGCGGGCGCCTGTAGTCCCAGCTACTCGGCAGGCTGAGGCAGGAGAATGGCGTGAACCCGGGAGGCGCAGTTTGCAGTGAGCCGAGATCGCGCCATTGCACTCCAGCCTGGGCGACAGAGTGAGACTCCGTCTCCAAAAAAAGAAAAGAAAAAAAAAAAACCGTGAGTCATTTTCAGTAGCGAAAAGCTCTCACCTAAAACTGTCCGTTTTACATCCGTATCCACCTGTGTAGATCGGTTCTTTACTGAAGGTTCTTAGAAGGAAACTTGGAAGTGGGAGGTGGGTTCTGTGTTCCTGAATGGGAAGACACATTTTTCTCAAAATGTGAGCTCTTTCTGTGATTATCAATTTTACATAAGCCGAATGAAAAAATCAAGGTTTTAACATTTTTGCATGACACCTACTGTCTTTTACTATTGTAATGATATTTGTAAAAATTTTAGGGCTGGGCGCGGTGGCTCACGCCTGTAATCCCCGCACTTTGGGAGGCCGAGGTGGGCGGATCACGAGGTCAGGAGATTGAGATTGAGACCATCCTGGCAAACACGGTGAAACCCTGTCTGTACTAAAAATACAAAAAAAAAAAAAAAAATAGCCGGGCGTGGTGGTGGGCGCCCATAGTCCCAGCTACTCCGGAGGCTGAGGCAGGAGAATGCTGTGAACCCGGGAGGGGGAGCTTGCAGTGAGCCGCCATCCAGAAGTGCTGGGATTACAGGTGTGAGCCACCGCGCCCGGCCTGAAAAGTGCATCTTCATTTTACAGGGAATTCTTTCAAATCAAATAATCAAAAACTGTAAAAGGGGGCAAAGTACTTTTTTGCAGATCTACAAGTTTCTTATGTAAATAGGAAAAAAAGCCTTTGCTTTTCTGGTATAAGCATTTAAATTAAAAGAGGAATGAAACTGTTTTCTATCCACAATGTGTGAGGATGTTTTTTATACTGCTGCCTGAAGTTTAAGTTGCTGATTACTTTTTAAATAGATAATTTGGTGGTAAGTACTATATTTTAAAAATGCGTATGCCCGTTACCCTTCAATTCCATTATACTAAAATACCCTTGGGAAATAGAGATACATGCACTTTGTTTTTCACAGCACTTATTTTAAAAAGAACCCATAGAATGGATCTTATAAGTAAATTTCAGTTGCATCCATAGGATGCAATAATATGTGACCATCAAAGGTGACAATAGATATAGAAGTACGTTGATGTGCAAAGATGTATTTTGTTTTAGCCAGCGAGGAAAAAAGAATCAGTTTGATTATACATTTACCAAACATTAAGAATTTAATATGGTAACTTTTATTTCAGTATTAAAATAGCAATTTTATTTATTACTTTTTTATATATAGAATTCGACACCAAATTTTGGAACTTAAAAAGAAGATTCTTAAAACTTACAATCCAGGTAAGACTTCTGATAGTGAATTTCTCATTTCTCGTGGTGGTCCTACTCTTGGTTTAAAAAAATTAAGATGTAAGATTAAGGTAGTTTTGAAGGAAAAGAAAAGTTTAAAAAGATGTGTAAATTGCATGTATATATACATATATACATACATGTAAATTAGTTTCTTATATTTAACTTCTTTAGTTTGGAATTAAGAGTTATTTAAGAAGGTAGTTGTAGCTGATTTATAATCTCAAACAGTATTATCTGAAAAAAAATCATTTACTTAATTATGATCCCGAAAATCCTATATAATATTTATGTTTTCTCTATAGTCACATTGTAACAAATTGGACTTGTTATACATATGGATCTTCTAGTTCATTTTTGTAATAAGTTGTTTATTTTTATAATAAATTGTTTATATTTAGTAAATACATAATTACAGTTGACCCATGAATAATTTGGGGGTTAGGGGCTCTGATTCCAGTGCAGCTGAAAATCTAAGTATAACTTTTGATTTTCCCAATTTAGCTACTAATAGCCCACTATTGACTGGAAGCCTTCCTGATAACATAAACGGTCGATTAACACCTATTTTATTTGTGCTGCATTATTATATACTGTGTTCTTACAATAAAGTAAGCTAGACAAGTGAAGCTGTTAGAAAGAAAATCTGCAGGAAAAATATATTGACTTTTCATAAAGCGTAAATGGATCCTCACAAAGGTCTTCATCTTTATCATCTTCAGGTTGTTCAGGCTGAGAAGGAAGAGAGGTTGGTCTTGCTGTCTCTGGGTTGCAGAGGCAGAAGAAAATCTGCATATAAATGAACTCCTGCAGCTCAAACCCTTGCTGTTCAAGGGTGAACTGTATTACCTGTTAATTTGTGTCACTAAGGAAGTATCTTTAGAACCGGGAACTCAACAATCCCTTTCTCGTAGAATAAATAAATGGCAGTAAGAACTGTAAAAGTGAACCAGTGTGCACCCATACGAATAGGAGATTATTTTTTGAAGATACCTACTGAGTGCAGAAAACAGAAAAGCAATTCCTTTGTGAGAAGCACAAGTTATGTTACATATTCTTACATAAGCAAAATGGTTTTATCTGTCATAGTTTACACACACACGTGCACATACACACATGTGCGTTCGGGTGCGCACACACACACACGCACACAAAGTTAAAAGTCCTGCTGATTGTTAATGACCAAATCCACTGCTTGCAGGGAGTAGTGGATAACACAGCCTACAGCTTGCATGCAATTCTTTTGGCTTTTTGACTTGTTCTGTGATGAACTGCCTTGAATGGGTCAACCATGTTTTAGTCTTATGAGAAATGAAAAGATTAGGGGCAAGTAAAAGGAACTCTATGATCAGTAGTTATACTATTATACTATTATACTATATTCAATGGTTATGCTTTTTTCCAGTTATACAAGTTACTTGAATGATGCACAATTAATTTATTATCATTATTATAAGAGATGGGCTCTCTCTATGTTGCCCAGGCTAGAATACGGTGTCTATTCAGTGGTACAGTCATAGCTCACTGTAGCCTGGAACTTCTGGGCTCAAGCAGTCCTCCTACCTCATCCTCCTGAGTAGCTGGGATTGTAGCCATGTGTAGTTACATCTAGCTGGATACACAATCATTTATTTATTTATTCATTTTTATTATTATTATTTTTTCAGACAGGTCCCCCTCTGTTGCCAGTACTGGAGTGCAGTGGTGGGATCTATCTTGGCTCCCTGCAACTTCTGCTTTCTGGCCTTAAATGATTCTTTCACCTCAGCCTCCCAAGTAGCTGGGACTACAGGCATGCCCCACCACGCTTGGCTAATTTTCCTTTTAAGGTTTTTTTTTCCTCACTATATTGCCCAGCCTGGTCTGGAAGTCTGGAACTTCTGGGCTCAAGTGATCCTCCTGCTTCGGCCTCCCAAAATGCTAGGATTTTACAGATGTGAGCCACCACACCTGGCCTGCACAATTATTATAAAAAGGAATTAAGCCCAGTTGAGTTGCAGAAAATTGACCACCTTTTCATTTTTTTTTCTAGAAACATTCATATTGTAGAACATATTGTCAATCATCAAGATTCCCTATTTTTTATTCTGGTAAAACTAGGATTGCTGCTTATTTCCCATTATTTTCTAACAATTGCTTCACTTATTTCTTTTATGGCTTTAATCAGTTGAGTATAGAAATACAAGAACCTCCAAGTCAAATATCAAGGAAAGAAAAGAAAAACAGATTAGGGAAAGTTATTCTGTGAAATAACCATCTGATTATAGGTCATGTCAACTTAATAAAAACCTTATATAATGCATTTGTGACAAGGGTTCCCAAGACCACCCCCAGGTTTGGTGATTCACTAGAAGGACTCACAGGATTCAGCAAATAATCATATTCAGATCTTTAATTGATTACAATGAAAGGGTACAAGCAAAATGAGAGGGAAAAGGTGCATGTGGTGGTCAAGTCTGGAGGAAACCAGGCACAAGCTTCCAGAAGTTCTCTCCTGTGGAGTTCCCAGGATCTGCTTAATTCTCCCAGCCTCACATTTTGACAACCCATGTGCAGTGATGTCTACCAGTCCCAGAATCTCATTAGAGACTCAGTACCCAAGTGTTTTTTATGGAGGTTACTCTCCCTCATATGTACCCACATTCCGACTCTCAGAAGGAAAGCAGCTGCTCAGAAGTAACCGCATTGTTTCTATAAACACTTTAGACACAGTGACCAGTCTTAGGGCATGGTGGGAACCCTCCCAATTCCAATTTCCTAAACAACAGCCAAGGGCCAGGCTTGCATGCGGGTCTTTCTAAGGACGGCAGTCTCTCTCCTGCTATATGAAATCTTTCCTGCACAACAGTTTTAGCCCCAACTTAATTTTTGGTGCTGTTTTAAAATTTCATTTTAACAGCAAATAATATTATAAGATAAGGTAACCTGGTGCTAGTTTCTGTTGCATGATCCATCCTGTGTTGCAATGCTGGCTACCTTTTTGACTTCTGGTGACTCACAGGTATTTGAATGGAAGTTACCATAGCAATATTAAGCAATTATAATCTGTCCTTCTTATCTCTTTAACCTTTCAGTGAAAGTGTTAAATTGAATAAGCATAATAATTTCTGAGTTAAAATTGGAATAAAAATGGTCTTTTATTTTGATTATGTGAATCTAGTTTTCATATCGTGCTAAATCCCTGTTTAGAGTTAGGAAATAAGATATTTAATCATTTTATCAATATTTTCTTGCCTAAGCTTGCAATTGAATTTATTTGTTTTATGCATTTTCTATACTGCGATTTGAGAAATCATGCCCACATGCTGTTACTTTGGTCTTTAATGATCTCCAATTTTTAGGGTTACCACTGTGTCCTGCTTAAATATATCATAATAACAGATTCAGTGAATATCTTTTATTTTTTATTTTTGTTCTGGAAATCCTGGGATGCATAGACAGTGAATATGTTTTTTAAATCAATAACTCTATTTCTTATAGCAGTTTTAGGTTCACAGCAAAATCGGAGGAAGGTACAGAGATTTCTCCTCTGTTCCATGCCTCCCACACATGCACGGCCTCCCCCATGATTAGTATTTTCCACCAGAGTGGTACATTTGTTACAACTGATGATCCTACATTGACACATTATAATCACTCAAAGTTCATAGTTGACATCAGGCTCCATTCTTAATACTGTACATTCTGTGAATTTGGACAAATGTATAATGACATGTGTCTATTTATTATAGATAGAACAGTTTCACTGCCCTAAAAATGCTCTATTCTCTGCCTGTTCATCTCTCCCTTTCTCCCTAGCAGCTGCTGGAAACCACTGATCTTTTATCTGTCTTCATAGTTTTACTTTTTTCAGGAGAGTCATATAGTTGAAATAATACAATGGATATCTTTTTGAATAGTTAAAAAAGTAAAGTTCCATGGTAATTGAATGTAGTCATTTAAGATGTTCTTTGTCCTTTTGTTTTTCTTTAGCTTCTTTGTCTTTGTAAGGTCTGATGACATATGCTTTACATACTTAGGAAACATGATTTGTATAGGCCTTTGCCACATAATGGAAAGGGTTGAGGAAAATGACACCATGCAATACCACACAGCACAAACTGGAGCATCTTGCTCCAGTGAGGTGGGTCCAGATAGACTCCCTAGCAATGGAAGGGGAGAAGCTCAAGAGGTTGTACTTTAAAAAACTGGAATCACAAAGTCTTTCATACTTACCTTGGGTTGGAAATAAGACCAGGCAGTGAATGTTATAGATAAATACATATGTTCCTCACTGATCCTCTTCCTTTGAGGGATGACTTTGAAAACAGTCTGTGTTATGATGACATGACTCACCTGCAACTAGATTCTGTGTCGTGAGGGACGGCAGTTTTGCTTTATGTGAGGTGAAAAAGAATTTTTTTCTCCTACTAGGGAAAGGGGCAAGCATTGGAACATTCTGGCAGCAAGAGGGCATTGATAGTTTTCTTTCTGTATATTTTTCACATCATATAGTACTGCCTGGCAGCCTGGCACACCTCGCCGGTGTTTCTTAAGCTTCTCTCTGAATGTGAGGCGTGGTTCCGAGTGTATAAGCTCTTAAAGGAGTGATCTTTCCAGTGGTTCTTTCCGTGGGAGGTAAAATGGCAGGTGAATTTGGGCCTTCTTATACGTAGGGCAGAGTATATAGCTACAACTAAGGAAACCACCCAGCACCTTCCCCAGAAGAGTAGTATCCAGAGTAACACATTGAGCTCTCTTGAGCTCTTCTCCACTGGCAGCTGGAAAGTTTTTGCAAGGATCCCTGTTGCTGGTCTGATTCCTACATTCTGCTGGCTTCTGGTGATAGGGTGTTTGATTCTATACTGAAAAGTTTTAACTGAAGAGCTAGAGAGGCTGTGTTGTGTTACAACAAAATAAGTGCAGTAGTTCCCCGTTAACTATGGGAGATAACATTCTAAGACACCCCCAGTGAATGCCTGAGACCACAAATAGTACTGAATCACCCACTGGTTTTTCCTACACATACATAACCATGATAATATTTAATGTATAAATTAGGCACAGTAAGAAACGAACAATAAAATAACAAATTATACTGTAATAAAAGTTACTTGAATGTGGTCTCTTGAAATATATTGTACGGTTCTCACCCATTTTTTTTTTTTTTGGGACGGAGTCTCGCTCTGTCGCCCAGGCTGGAGTTCAATGCTGTGATCTCGGCTCGCTGCAAGCTCTGCCTCCTGGGTTCACACCATTCTGCTGCCTCAGCCTCCGGAGTAGCTGGGACTACAGGCGCCCACCACAAAGCCCGGCTAATTTTTTTTTTTTTTATTTCTTTAGTAGAGATGGGGTTTCACCGTGTTAGCCAGGATGGTCTTGATCTCCTGACCTCGTGATCCGCCCGCCTCGGCCTCCCAAAGTGCTGGGATTACAGGTGTGAGCCACTGCACCCGGCTGGTTCTCACCCTTTTTCTTGTGATGATGTGAAGTGATACAATGCCCGTGTAATGAGATGAACTGAGGTGAATGACGTGATCCTAGATCGTCAGGCCTTGATGTTGGCGGCGGGCTACAGGAGGAGACCGTGTTGATGACTAACGGGTGGACAGCATGTGCAGTGTGGGTGCACTGCAGGACGATTCACATCCTGGGCTGGATAGAGGGTGCTGACGGTTTCACTGTGCTTCTCGGAATGGCACACTAAAACTTATGACCTCTTTATTTCTGGAGTTTTCCGTGTATATTTTTGGAATACAGTTGACTATTAGTAACTGTAACCACAGAAATCAAAACTGCAGATGTAAAATCTCTGGATCTTAACTCATTTGTTGGGTACAATTCTTAAAATCCTTAGGATTTCCAAAGTGATGTTTTTTTGTATGCTAATGATCCATGGCTGGAAGCCCCTAGGTAGCTTCAGGATGGGAACTGGTCACCATCCTGAAGACATGATTGATTAGAGTGTTGAGATCTTCTGTCTCATTCAGGAGACTCTGGAGAGGAGAGAAGAGCTGAAGGTTGTCAGTCACCAAAGGCCAGTGATTAATCAGTGATACCAATATAATGAAGCTTTCATCAAGACCCAAAGTGACTGGGCTTGGAGAGCTTCCAGATGGCTGAATGCATGGAGGCTCCTACAGGATGGTGTGTCCTGGGAGGGCATGGAATCTCCGTGCCACCTCCCCCATACTTTGCACTATGCATCTCTTCATCTGTATCTTTTGTAATGTCATTCATAGAAAACTGGTAAATGTGTTTCCCTGAGTACTTTGAGCCACTCTAGCAATTCAATTTAACCCAAAGAGGGAGTCCTGGGAACCTCAATTTGAAGACAGTTGGCCAGAAGTTCTGGAGTTTCAGACCTACAACTGATGTAGGGAGGCAGTTTCATGGGACTGAGCCCTTTACCTGTGCAATCTGATGCTATCTGCAGATAGAGTGTGAGAATTGACTTAGAGGATGCCCAGTTTGTGTCATCGGCAGAAATGATTGCTTACTTGTTGGTGGAGAAAAACCCTCCACACGTTTTGTCACAGGAGACTTCTTTGTTATTGTTGCTGTGACGTGACAGCAGAGAAAAACAGGTCAAATGTGTCTTTTCCACACATACAGTGGACAAGGGGTACTACTGTATACTCTGTTTGAACTGCCCGTCATGTTTTGGTCCTGAAATCATGCTCTTTGACACTGTTCATTCATCACACCTGTTCTGCTAACAATACCATTTTTAGTCAATCTCACAGGGTTTGGCTAGGATAACTTGTATACTGCGGTTCACTTGTAGATATCAAATTTTATAAATTTATTCTTCTTTGCATTTAATAAATACAAAGTAAGGGAAGTAAGAGTTCTTACTGCATTAATTATCTACTAATAGGTATAATTAATATTAATTCTAATAAGGTCCCGGTTATGCTCCCAAAGGAATGCTATATAACAAAGCATCAGTCCTATGCTTTAAAAAAAGAAAAGAAAAGAAAAGAAAAAAACATGGTCTGAAGTCTGCACACAAGTGTGCATAACTTTTTTGTGAAGATAGAGTCTTGCTGTTTCCCAAGCTGGCCTCAAACTTCTGGGTTCCTCAAGTGATCCTCCTGCCTCAGCCTCCCAAGTAGTTGGGAATACAGGCATGTATCACTGTGCCTTCTTATGCTTTTAATATTCTATACAATTATTATTGATTTATAATGCAGTATACCTTTTTCTTTAATAGATTCTGGGAGTTCTGATGAATATGCAGTCAGGTAGGATTTTACAGATTTAAAAAAATATGTTAACTAAGGAAATATAGATGGAAGAGATTCATATCTGTTGAGTGTTGTATTCTGGGCTAAACCCCTATTGTGTGCTATGCATTTATCATCCCATAAAGCCATTGCAACATCTGTGTTCTTATAACCTACTGTTTATTACATAGGCAACTGTGGTTTAGAGGTTGATTAATTGGCTCATGACCCCGTAGTTAACAAAGTAGCTGACCCACAGTTAAACCATCAGCCTGTCTGGCTTCCAGATCCCTTATCTTGCTCCTCAGCATAGATTGATAGAAATCTGTGCAGCACTTGGATCAAGGTACACGTCTGAATCAGATTAATTTAGACAGTCAAATCTGGTTGTATGTTAACTCTCATTTAAGGTTATTGTTAGAAATGTGGTTAGTCCAAGAGTTTCTCCTCATAAATTTGACAGTTTCAGTGGTAGCCAATATCTTATTTTACCATCAAAGGCTTTAGGGCAAAGTAAAGGTTTGGCCATAGGATTATAATTTTACAAAAGCAAGATTAGACAAGTCTCAGAAATTATTTGACTTCCCAGTTTGGTTTTCCCTTTAGGCTAGTACTTCTGCTTAATTCCATAATACTTTTTTTTAGACTTTTTCCTTTTTCCATGACATTTCTATAATCCTGTCTTGATGTTGTAAAACTTTCTTCTCTGCTTTTCTTGGTCTTTCTTTTGTTGTATTATTTTTTCAAAATCTGCTGACTATGTATTCCCAGTTTTCTTATAGACAGAATCAAAAGCACATAGAATTACAGAATTTTAAGGAATCATAGGACAAATTAAAATAACCTCTAGTACTTTAACCTGTGTTAAACATTCTGGTCAAGTGTTTCTCTAGATAGAGAACGTGAGACTCAAAGAGATTAGGATAGTTTTTTTATATATAGGAAGTGGCAGAAAGGAGATTTCAACTCATTTTAAAGCTCAGTACTTGTCTTTTTTTTTTTTTTTTATCCTATTGGCATGTTTTTCTGTTTGTTTTTTGTTTTATTTTGTTTTTTTGAGACAGTCTCTCTCTGCTGCCCAGGCTGGAGTGCAGTGGCACAGTCTTGGCTCAATGCAACCTCTGCCGCCCGAGTTCAAGTGATTCTCCTGCCTCAGCCTCCTGAGTAGCTGGGATTACATGCACTTGCCACTACACCCGGGTAGTATTTGTATTTTAAGTAGAGGTGGGGTTTCAGCATCTTGGCCACGCTGGCCTTGAACTTCAGACCTCGATCCACTCGTCTCCACCACCCAAAGTGCTGAGATCACAGGCAAGAGCCACGACGCCAGGTTTGGCATGTGTTTTAATAATACAAAGTAGGTCGGGGCACAGTGGCTCACAACTGTAGGTCCTCATTTGCATGAGCTAA